>NC_000007.14:148246258-148397773 GCF_000001405.40 Homo sapiens | reverse complement strand
CCTCCCTGGTGCCTGGCTCACATCATTATAAAGATAGCGTGATAAAGTCCTGGCATGAGCCGTGTGGCTCTGTCACAGTTCTTCTCATTCATGTCAACGGAGTGTGAAAAAATATTTAATTGGCTCTAGCAGCCTTGGGGATGATTTATTCCCTGTCGAAAAGGGGAATGTGGAACAAGAAAAAGCAAAGTGTATTTAGTAGCAGGGATTTCACCAACAGGTATGCAAATTACATATCCTTCCAGACTTCTGCATTATATTTAAAGGGTGATAGAAAATAGTAAGACAGTTCAGAATAAAGAACTGGAATTATATGTTTTACTCCAAAATTTTCATTGAGAGGAAGGAATAGTGGGAAAAAAATAACTGAATCTGAAATATATGCATTTTCCACTTCATAATGCTAGTCTCTGCATACTTTAGAGTAAGGTGCTATAAACTCAGTCCCCATTGCTTCACAATCCTGATGCACACCAGGAATCCTCTGGGATGGGGAACAGGCATTGGGATTTGTGAAAAGCTCCCCAGGTGACTGATGTGCAGCCAGGGTTGTGCACCGCACTTCTGTGGCCACCCAGTCAGTGTTTGCTGAGGGAATGAATACATTTATTTTCTCTGAGCTGCATTTTCCTTATCTTTAAAATGTGGCTGATAATGTCCACTTTGCCTACCACATGTGGCCATTCCAGGATAAAACAAAATCATGCATTAAAGCATTTCAACAAATAAAATAGTTTACAAATTTAAGTTATCACTACTTTTGTCTGTATCCTTTCCAGTTTTCTAAAAGTTAAAATTCCCGTCAATGATTGAAAATCATTTTAGCATGTTTAAAGGGGAATTTCCAAAACAATTCATCTTATTTTCTATGTTTAAAATAACTGTACCCCACATTCATATGGCTATTTATGTACAATTACATTTCAACATAAAGCTGATTTTAATTTTTTAAAAGTCTTTCAGCGTTGCTCTCAGGAACAAACTCAACAGCAGAATTAGGAATCTGCATCCGTCTTTAGAATTTCTGAATAGTCTATGCAGAGCACGTGGAATCAGACAAAGATCTCAAAGGAGTGAAGCAATTTATCATGTTTAGTTATTGGTATTTATAAAAGGACTTTTCTCTGAAAAGCATGTGGTGATGTGTTAAAAACCTCATCAGGATAATGCTTCTGCAACTGTAGAGATCATAGCAAGGACATGAGGTGCTGATTGGCCAGCAGAGGTGGAACTAACATTTCCAGGTGGTGACTGACAGAGATTCCCCTGTGAGAATTCACACCTGGGAATTCTGACAATTGTCTTTTTAAATGAGGCCGTAAAAGAAGTGATGGCGGATAATTTAGAGGGTGTTGTGCTCCTCTGAGTGCTTCCATAGCTGAGTGATATGGTGCTGTAACAGAAGCATGATACTGAAGAATACTCAAAAATGCGGTACAGTAGGAAGCATCTGAATGGGGGATCGCTGGGGGTAAGGAAAGACACACAAGTCAAGGGATAACACTGAGCTCAACTCGCCTCCCTTTTCATGGGCTACTCATAGCATTCCTGTAGCACGAGCATGACGCAAAAATGAATACTGTGACTTGCTGGAGTCAGTGGTTCTGCCATCAACAGAGAAGTCACCATGGCAACATGTACAACCGCGTTGCCCCGCACTTAGCCAGCCCCACGTGACACAGGCTGACAGCTGCAATGATTTCCATGCACAGACCCCAGGAAAATGCACCTTTGAGTGCCATGCCAGGTGGGGTGGGGGTCGGAGGGTGGACAGCCCAGGGAGAAGAACGGGACAGAGTCCTAACCTCCCTGGGGTTCAAAATCTATCGTAGGGGATGAAGGGAAAGAAAGGTAGAGGAAAATTAGGAATGAAAGAAATTCGCGGCAGGGGAAAAAACAATGACCTTGGAGATAGTTCCAAAGCTGTATGTTTGTGCCGGTTTTGCTTTTTTATCACTGGAGTTTCAGAGAGTTAAGTGATCCTGGTTAAGACAGAACAGAAGTCTTTGAATAAAGGCAGCCCCTGACACGGCCAGGCCTGTGGAGCCACTAGAAAGCAGCCCGTCTACACAGAGGATGGCCTGTGAGGTGTTCGATGCTGAAGGGGAATCCAACCCTGCTGCCAGTCATGTTTAGCCACTTAAGTGACGTTTTGCTCTTTGATTATTTCTTCATCATGGCTGAGCCTTGACAGAGCGCACCCCCAACTGCTTTTCAAAACACAAGCCTGCCAAGTCTATTCTCTCAGTGATGTGGGAAGGCTTTGGCAACTTACGCCAGCCTCTAAGTTCTTTTCAGGTCCCTTAGCAAAAAGTCTAGTGCAAGCCATTGGTGTCAATTACATCTGGAGGGTGCAGTCCTGGAGGCGGGGCTGGGGCAGCAGAGGTGTGGTCAGAAGAGAGCATGGCTGGAGTTTAAGATTTGTTGACTTCGGTTCACATTCTTATAAGACCATGATACACACACCCCACCAAGAAGGAAAATAAGAGAGAGAGCCAAACATTCAAATTAGAAAGTTAGAGGCCAGCAAATATAAATTTAAAGAAGACACGACAGTAGAAAGAAAACAAAGAATTGACAAATAAATCTAAGAGCTGGTTCTTTGAGAAAAGAAAAAAAAAAAGCCACATAATCTAATCAATAAGGGGGGGGGGTCAACAGAAACATTCAATATAAAAAACACGAAAAAGGGAATGGAAATTAAATTATTAACAAGTTTCTGTTCAACTCCACAGTAATGAGTTTGAAAACCTAGGTTAAATGCACGAATTTCTAGAAAAAGATAAAATAACGGGTATTATCCTAGATGAGAAAGAAAATCTAATTAGACAGATTATCATAAAATAACTTGAGAGAGTTGTCAAAGATCTGCTCCCACAAGAAGCAGTGGGCTCAAGTGGTTTTCCAGGGGAAACCTATGAAATCTACCAGAGGCAGTGCCTCAAGGCTGCTTATCTCCTTGCCACTCCCAGTGTGTTCCAGGGACCCGCTGCATCAGCAGCACCTGGGAGCTTGTTGGAAATGCAGAATCTCTAATCCCATGTTTGACCAGCTGAATCTGCATTTGCTAATTTCCCCCAGGTGATTCTAAGCACATTAAAATCTGGATGACACTTATCTGAATCATTTCGCAACTTGGAGAGAGATGGAGAAGACACGCATGGTGTAACTGGGCATCACCAGGTAATGAACTTATACATAAACCTTAATCCCAGTAAAAATTTTAAACAATTCCAATAAAATGATTAAAATTCTCAAATCCACATGGGAAAAGCAAATGTGCAAGGATGAACAGGAAAATTCTGGGAAAAAAAACTCAGAAAAAAAGGGAAATTAGCTCTATGAGCCACTAAATGTGATAATAAAAGCTCAATGATAAGTACTGCAGTTTGCTCCCATGTCACAAGGCATCATATCAATGTAATAGACCAGAGAGTCCAGTAGGGACTCAGAAATGAAGGGAATTTAGAAGATGGTAAAGGTGGAGAGGATGGAGCCTCAACCAATGGGGCTGGAACAGTGGGCCATTTGGGAAAAAATAAAGTGAGATTTTTACCTTCCACCTTCCACCCAAATAAATTTCCAGGGAAGAAAATACGTAGAACTTACAAATAAAACACAAAATTATTATAAAAAACATGGAATAATTTAAAAAATAAGTTCTAAATGGAGAAGGTATGTCACAAAACCCAAAAGCCATAAAACACTTTACATTTCACCATGTAAAATTTAGTAACTTTTACATGGAAAAAAAAATCCCATAAATTCAAAAAAATTGAGATGAAACAAGGAAAACATTAAAAATACTAATTTACTTAATATATTAAGAATACTTATAAATCAATAGGAAAGAATATAAAGATATAAATAATTATTGGAGCAAAGAATATAAAGAGGGAGTTTATGGAAAAATAAATATAAATGATATATAAACATATGCAAAGATACTTAACCCAACTCATAATTAATGAAATACAAACTATAACAAGAAAATTTTATTTTTCATATAGAACAGCCACATTTAAAAGAATAATATGATGCACTGTTTTGGTGAGGATGTGGGGAAAAGGTATTCATAGATTGCTGGACTGTCAATCGGATTATATCATTAGAGGATGGTTTGTAGTAGTATCAAAATTAAAAACACACATATCCTTTGACTCAACAAAATCATGGATACAATGTGATTTTCTATGAAAACACTGTAGAAACTGATTTTCTATGAAAACACTGTAGAAACAAAAGGTGGGATACAACTAAAATGACCAGGCAAAAATAGGTAAGACTAATACCATAGTTGATTTGAGATACATAAATGCGCTTGGTGTTTTTGCAGGAAAAGTGGAATTTGGATCTTTGCAGGAAAATGCACATTAGCAAGCAAGGGATGATAGTTTTTCTTCACACGATTAAGTGTGAACTGTGTTGGTGACTGAAGAGGGAAAAAGACAAATAACATAATAAAAAGACTGAGTGTGAGAGATAAAAATGCATTAATCATGCAGTCTTAGCATAAGGAGAGAAAAGGGATCTGTTCAGAAATAATTCAGATGTAATTATAAGAGCAGGAATGATTACTTTTAAGTGCTTGCAGGTGGTAAAGAAAACCAATGATCAGCTTGTAGTTAGGTAGAAAACAGAATAGATGATATATGTAATTTTAAAAAGTTCTTTATATCCATAACTCTTTGCACATGAAGATATAAAAATATTTTATGGCCAGATGATAGAAAGGAAACTTGGAATATAGACAGAAATCAACTTAGAAGTCATAACGATGGAGGTAAGAGGTCTTCAGAAACCAATCTGTGGCCAGTGGTAAAGTGTCCGATGTGGTGACGGGAAGCCTGAGTGAGTTCCTAGCTCAGTGCTGGGTATACTCAAGTCTAATGGGGGTATGGGGTTGTTACACTGAGTGATCCCAAGTGCCAAGTTCCATCTAGTTCCTAATATATCTGGGAGAAGACCCACGTGCCTAAGAGGGCTGGTTTTCAGCCACTCTGCCAACCTGAGTGAATCCACTGGACCAGCTTGGCAGGGGATTCTCAACCCTGGATTCTTGACAATCCTGGCCTTGGTTCTGGGGGAGGTGGAGAATTGGGTGTTAACTCCCTTCCCTCCACTCCTGCTTCTGAATTTTCCATCTCCTACCCACTTCCCTGTTGGAGGAGCTGTGAGAATTCCTGGTCAAGGACCTCCCAGTGTCAGATGCAGGTTAGCGTTAGGGCAGAGAACCAGATAACTTAAGGTTACAGTGGATGCTGTGAATTCACCTGCTAGCAATTTACAGAAGGACTCCCAGGTCCTTTCTGGGGTGAGATGCACCACACATCACATACCATGCAAACTTTGCTGAGAATCTAGCCTGGACCTACTAGAAGTCCTTTAAAATAACTAGCTGTGGCCAGGCGCAGTGGCTCATGCCTGTAATCCCAGCACTTTGGGAGGCTGAGGCGGGCGGATCACGAGGTCAAGAGATCGAGACCATCCTGGCCAACATGGTGAAACCCCGTCTCTACTAAAAACACAAAAATTAGCTGGGTGTGGTGGTGCGTGCCTGTAGTCCCAGCTACTCAGGAGGCCGAGGCAGTAGAATTGCTTGTACCCCGGAGGTGGAGGTTGCAGTGAGCCGAGATCACGCCTCTACACTCCAGCCTAGTGACAGAGCGAGACTCCATCTCAAATAATAATAACAACAACAACTAGCTGCAATCTTTACAACTAGAGGATCCCTTAGGAAATGAAACTTTACATCTTAAAATGCTTCATCTATTTTAATGATATTTTAAAGAAGATCCTAGGATGTGGCTTTTGGTCTGACGTATTCTGTATCAAATATCACGAATGTGATAAAACACTCTAAGGCTTAACACAAACGCCTTTTAAAGCAGCTTGGTGTGCAGTTTGGAGTTGCTCCTTAGTGCAGAAATTTATGGGATCAGACTCTTGGATTTATTTTTTCTGGTGTTTGTTTTGTTTTTGTATTTTACAGAATGTGCACTGCCATCTGTGGCTGTCTTCCTGCTGGCAAATCCTTTTCATTCCAAGCAAATAAGATTCCCTAAATTAGACAAAAAGGAAGAAACACAACAGAGTCCATAATTCTGAGAGGTAAATCACGGCAATTGCCTGGCATTCTGTGACCTTAAAATAAACCTTAACTCAGGGCTGGGGGTTACTTTTTCTACCTTGTAACTACTGTTCTAAAAATATTCCTAAGGACCATATAATGGTTTAGAAACAGGCTGTACTTATTATCAAAGAGGGAAATAACTAGAAGAAAAAAAGATTGGATGTTTCCAATAGAGCAGAATTGTTTTAAATCAAGTCAACTTAAATCATAATGTGTAAGTCTTTTGTTTACCTCATCCCCCTATAAAAATGTGTTCTTAAAGCCCCATGCTAGGCCCTAGCGCTTGGGGTGATCTTTCTCTACTGCCCAGTGTTTCCCAAACTCCAATCATGTGAAAATCACCTTCATATTTTTCTTGACATATACTGTAAAATCCAAGTATTATTTATTTACTTATTTTCACAAAATTGGTTAAATTTCTTATTTATATAAATCTATTGATAAAACTTTACATCCCTACTGAGTAATTCTATTGCCTGTGAGGCACTAACCAGAAGCCTGTTCTCTCTTTATTATAAGGTAAAATACAATCATGGGAGAGGTGTTAAAAGCGTGCCAGAACCAAATAGAGACTTTCTCTTTATAAAATCAGAAGGACTGAAAGACAAATGAACAGGAAATGACTTGCTTTGTATGTTACACGAGGCCATGTCTATTTGCTTCCCATAATGGCGACCCCCTATCTAGGCTACATGCTGCACTGCTCCAGAAGCCAGAGACTGCACTACAAATGACATCTGTTATAGTTGTGCAGTGCACAACCTGACCAACATAAATGTCCCTCATTTTAGAAAACACTGATAGAGCCCAAAGGACATTGGAGAGGTAACAAATAGTGTTTGTTATAGAAGTGTAACAGTAGTGTTACAGATGAGAAAAAGAATCTTATTACTAAAGCCAGCATACCTTAGAACCTATTTTCTGTTTTTATCATTTACTATGATCTCAGACAGTAGAAAGACAGGTATGGGAGCAGAAAGATCACCAGACCTATGGGTAGATGTCTTCAATTCTAATTTCCATTCTAACACCAAGTTCCTGCAAAACAAACATCCTGGTATAGGTATGCAAACATCCTGGTATAGGTATGGATTGAGTAGCCCTGGTTTGCCAAGATCCCTTTAACCATAAGGCCATATGATTCCTTACTCTTCACAGCAAGGCACCTGCTGTATTTTCAGAAAAGCACAGCCCTCATTTTAAAGCAGCATCTTTTTCTATCTTTCAGAGTAGGTTAGCAGCCAATTCAAAACACAGTAATAATTTCACATCTTCCTCATAATGAGGTGCTTTCACTGGAGCCACCGAGTCCTGCCCCACACTGCAAATTTATTGTTCATTTGTTTGTTTCAAGTCTGCTTTCCAGTTGCAAACAGGCAGATCAGTTCTCCTCAAGTTTAGGTAAAAACATCTCCTCTGAGTGAGCTTCCTTATAAAATGGCCGGAGAGCCTGGTCTCTTTGCAAGCTTGATGGTACAGCCTTTACTATTTGTGATTTAACCACCTAACGGCTTTATTGTTTTTCATAAACCATGTTTTGGGCAGTATTTGGGTATTCAGTTTTTTCTTTTGGTAACCTTATTTTGATGCACTTACCAAAGGGACCCTTCTTTCATTTGGTGAGTGATTCTTGACCTTGGTCACACACTGGACACTCCTGGGGAGGGGGGTTTACATCACACACACCTGTGTCCCTCCTATCCCCCCGAGGGTCTGATTTGGTCCGTCAGGGGTTTAGTACTAGATATTGGGATTTTTCTTTTTAAAAAATAACCATGAAGACCCTTCAGATGGCTTCCTTTCCCTTTCACTCTCCCAAAGGAAGAGAAGAGTGATCATCAGCAGCAAAAGGCAATTGCAGAGAAGCACCACCAAGAGCCAGCTTCATGCTCAGGAGTGAATGCTGAGCCGCCTCCTCGTGGTTTCCGGTGCTCCACATGTTCAGAGAAACTTCTCTGGTAAGAAACTATAGAAATGGTGCATGGAAGTGTTACTAGAAAGGGTTCCTGATCCAAACCCCAAGAGAGGGTTCTTGGATCTCACGCAAGATCCAAGAATTTAGGGTGCATCCATAGAGTAAAGTGAAAGCAAGTTTATTAGTGTATTAGTTTGTTTTCATGCTGCTAATAAACACATACCTGAGACTGGGTAATTTATACAGGAAAGAGGTTTAATGGACTCCCAGTTCCACACGGCTGGCGAGGCCTCACAATCATGGTGGAAGGCAAGGAGGAGCAAGTCATGTCTTACATGGATGGCAGCAGGCAAAGAGAGAGCTTGTGCAGGGAAACTCCCCTTTATAAAACCATCAGATCTTGTGAGACTTATTCACTGTCACGACAACAGCATGGAAAGACCTGCCCCCATGATTCAATTACCTCCCACCAGGTCCCTCCCACAACACATGGGAATTCAAGATGAGATTTGGGTGGGGACATAGTCAAACTGTATCAATTGGGAAAGTAAAGGAATAAAAGAATAGGAGGAGCCAAGATGGCTGAATAGGAACAGCTCCAGTCTACAGCTCCCAGCATGAGCGACGCAGAAGATGGGTGATTTCTGCATTTCCATCTGAGCTTTGAAAAGAGCAGTGGTTCTCCCAGCACGCAGCTGGAGATCTGAGAATGGGCAGACTGCCTCCTCAAGTGGGTCTCTGACCCCTGACCCCTGAGCAGCCTAACTGGGAGGCACCCCCCAGTAGGGGCAGACTGACACTTCACATGGCCGGGTACTCCTCTGAGACAAAACTTCCAGAGGAACGATCAGATGGCAGCATTCGCAGTTCACGAAAAACCGCTGTTCTGCAAACACCGCTGCAGATACCCAGGCAAACAGGGTCTGGAGTGGACCTCTAGCAAACTCCAACAGACCTGCAGCTGAGGGTCCTGTCTGTTAGAAGGAAAACTAACAAACAGAAAGGACAACCACACCAAAAACCCATCTGTACATCACCATCATCAAAGACCAAAAGTAGATAAAACCACAAAGATAGGGAAAAAACAGAGCAGAAAAACTGGAAACTCTAAAAAGCAGAGCACCTCTCCTCCTCCACTATTCACAATTGCAAAGACTTGGAACCAACCCAAATGTCCAACAATGATAGACTGGATTAAGAAAATGTGGCACATATACACCATGGACTACTGTGCAGCCATAAAAAATGATGAGTTCATGTCCTTTCTAGGGACATGGATGAAATTGGAAATCATCATTCTCAGTAAACTATCGCAAGGACAAAAAACCAAACACCGCATGTTCTCACTCATAGGTGGGAATTGAACAATGAGAACACATGGACACAGGAAGGGGAACATCACACTCTGGGGACTATTGTGGGGTGGGGGGAGGGGGGAGGGATAGCACTGGGAGATATACCTAATGCTAGATGATGAGTTAGTGGGTGCAGCGTACCAGCATGGCACATGTATACATATGTAACTAACCTGCACAATGTGCACATGTACCCTAAAACTTAAAGTATAATAATAAAACAAAAAGGAATAAAAGAATAGCTACACCACAGACAGAGCAGCCCCAAGGGCTGCTGGTTGCCCATTTTTATGGTTATTTCTTGATTATATGCTAAACAAGGGGTGGATCATTCATGCCTCCCCTTTTTTTAGGCCCTATAGGGTAACTTCCTGACATTGCTATGGCATTTATAAGCTGTCATGGTGCTGATGGGAGTGTAGCAGTGAGGATGACCAGAAGTCAATCTCATTGCCATCTTGGTTTTGATGGTTTTAGCTGGCTTCTTTACTGCAACCAGTTTTCAGTAGGTCTCAGCTTTATTTTACCCAGCCCCTATTCGAGATGGAGTTGCTCTGGTTCAGACACCTCTGACAGAAGTATAGTCTTGACATCAGGGTTTTAAAAAGCTCCCCAGGTAGTTTTGGGTTTTAAAAAGCTCCCCAGGTAGTTTTAAAGTGCTTCCCAGATTGAGAAGCACTATACAAGATTAGAGCTTTTAAATTGCAGTGGTAAGTCACCTGGGAACCATGCTAAAAAACACGAATGCTGATTTAGTCAGTATGGGGAGGGGCCTGAGATTCTGCATTTCTAAAAAAGCTTCCAGGAGACCCATTGCTGCTTGTTGAGGAATAAACTTCCAAGGCACCAGATGAGATAATCTACTTCCAAATGTCCTCTAGTCAAGCCAGGACTCACGAGCTCTCATGTTATTTTCTTTCCATCCTAACCCTACACAGACTCAAGTACCTCACGTTATTTACAGGTAGAAAGGCATTTTTGTGTATATACTGTTTTGTTTTTAAATATCTGATAGCAAGGAATCTTATTCTAGTCAAACATGAAATATTACCAGAAAAGTGCAAAACCGTAAAGTCCAAATTCAGAATGATGACCTTAGGCTCACGAAACCAGAGTGCAATTGCTGATGTGAGGGATGCACTTAGAACCCGAGTTGGTATGGAACTCATTTTAAACTGAAGCCACTGGGGATTCAATAGGTGCAGAAAGAAGCCTTCTTGGTGCTTCCTTTATCTGACAAAAAGCAGAGACTTCTGGAAAAATGAGGCTGCCATACCTCCCTCTTACGGGTGGCTTTTACTCCCAGGAAGATGATCAAGAAACCTACCGTAAGTCCTCTCTCCAGGGAAGTTTTATGGCCATGAATGAGATACAGAGATCACTCAGGCCTGCATGAACAAGCACTATCACAAACTCTTTATCTCTCATTTGTTCTTCTAGAAATCCATCTGTTCCTCCTATAGAGGCCTTTTCCCCCACTGCCTCTTTTCCCTACTAAGCTGGGCATATAAGTTTCTAGCTTTAACTACTTACTGAGTTTCTTCTTTTTCAAGCTCCTATATGCATATAAATAAGGTCCCCCTGCCCACCTGTTAATCTGTCTTTTATCAGCTTAATTTGCAGGCCCCCAGGTACTGAACTTAAGAGGACAGAGGAAAAGTTTTTCCTCCCTGACACTGAGCAACCAGAGGCTGCTGTTAAGTAACCTTCCCTCATTTCTACGTCTGTCCTCTGCCCCTTCCAGCCCCTCAACCCACATTGTCTCTCATGTTCCTATTCACCTAAAAGAGGAAAATCATATTATTTCAATAAACCTCTGCCTTATAGTTTGTAAACTGTTTTCTGTTGTTTTTTTGTTTTGTTTTGAGACAGAGTCTTGCAGTGGCACCATCTCAGCTCAGTGCAACCTCTGCCTCCCAAGTTCAAGCGATTCTCCTGCCTCAGCCTCCTGAGGAGCTGGGATTACAGGCGTGCGCCACCACGCCCAGCTAATTTTTGTATTTTTAGTAGAGACGGGCTTTCACCGTGTTGGTCAGGCTGGTCTCGAACTCCTGACCTCATGATCCACCCACCTCAGCCTCCCAAAATGCTGGGATTACAGATGTGAGCCACCGAGCCCGGTCAACTGTTTTCTGTCCTTGTAATTGGTATAATGACAATTGCATTAATACTTCATCTGCTGGACACTGGGTAAGAACTCTCCAAGTGTAAGTGGAAATTTTTCTGCAAATGGATCTCATGTTACATAGCACAGGCCTACCATAATATCAGAATTACAGAATTTGGATTTGAACATCAAATACAGATATGTTCCCTATATACATTTTCATAAATCAATCAAAAGAATCCTGTAATCCTAGCACTCTGTAATCCTAGCACTTTGGGAGGCCTAGGCGGGTGGATCACCTGAGGTTAGGAGTCCAAGACCAGTTTGGCCAACATGGTGAAATCCTGTCTCTACAAAAATTAAGTGGGCATGATGGCGGGTGCCTGTAATCCCAGCTACTCAGGAGGCTGAGGCAGGAGAATCGCTTAAACCCAGGAGGCAGAGGTTGCAATGGTGCCATTGTACTCCAGCATGGGCAACTGAGTGAGACTCTGTCTGTCTCCAAAAAAAAAAAAAAAAAAAAAAAACCTGTCACACTCAAAGCATGATTTTTTTAAAGTAAAGGAACAAAAACTCTTTGGTCCCTACAGTCATATCTCACAGATCTTAACAAACAAGTTCCTAATTAAGTAATAATACATAAAACTCATATTGGCCCAAGGTAGGATCTAGATGTTTTAGAAACTAGTCTATTGGCCCTGACTCAGACCACAGGTGCTCACAGCCTCAGGCAGTGGGTCCCTTTGACAGCGGAAGGACTCCTGCCTTGCAAAGATCATTCACGGTATTTGTCTACTCGGGCATTTGGAGGAATTTATCTGAGAGATCTCTGTTCCTCTGTGGCCCTGACATGTCTTTTCTCCTCTTGTATTTTCACTCTTACTTTTCTTCTTTCAGCATTAGGAATGCTTTCCTTTGTTCAAGCCAGCCCACTGTGTAATCTTAACAACATTCATAAAAGGGAATTCTTCATACGTGCCCTTAGCTCACAGCGCCCCGCGTCAAGTTCTAGGAATCCATGTGTGAGGAACAAAGAGGATTGTTTCGTCTGTAAATGGGTTATTCTGACAACAGGGCAATTTTGGCTTCTCTCTAAGCTTCACAAAGCTTTGCAGCACAGCCCTGGCAAGGAATCACAATGACAATGGCTGCACTGAAGCCACACACTCCATGTGCAGGGCCGGAACATGATTAAAGCAATCAAATGCACGAGGTTTAGAGAATGAACTGTTACAAATTACAAGTTTGCAGGGGGAGAGGATTTGGAAGTCTTTACTCAAGGTTCAAGCATTATAGCAAATTGTGTCTAATATAATAATATTAGATTATTAATATTATTGTAGCTAAACTTTAACGCTTGTGATAAAACACGTCAGATTTAAACACATCACTTTAAATAGAATTCCAAGGGTTAGGTCTTATCTCCATTTAGGAAGTGGGGAAACTGAGGAATGAGGTTATGAAAACTGCCTAAGGTTAATCTGCTGGTGAGAGGCAGTGATGGTGCTGGAATCCAGGCCTCCTAGCTGTTGCTTCCTGCCTCATCTTCTTCCTCTTTTTAGCTTCAGCAACATCACATGTTGCCTGGAGACCCACTGAATGTTGGATTCGGAGGTCACTTAGAGGTTACACTCCCCTCCCCTTCTTCACCTTATGGGTGAAAAAGCAGAGGCTTGGGCAGGTCACTTGAGTTGCCCAAGGCCAATTTAGGTGGAGCTAGGAGTACGACCTAAGTCTCCTGAGATACAGCTTAATAGGCTGTCTCCCACCCAGGGTTATGTGTATACTCTTTTCATCCAATTAATTTTTCAGCCAACAGCTACATCCTTTCATTTGAGCCCTGTGCTTTCAAATTACATGTCTTCCCACTCAAAGAAGTGGGACTAAATCCACAGAGTTTTGCAAGCTTAAAGGCACCTCTTAAAGATCTGGAAGCCACCAGTATTATTCATATAAATACAGAGCCAGGAGACGGATCTCTATATTGCTTTAGGTAAATCTCTTCTTAAATTAAAACACAGATTATGTTACAGCAAGTCATTAAGAGTCATAAGAGGCAAAAGTGAGACAGTGAATTGATCAAATCACCCACAGTCATGGCGCAGACATCAGTTTAGGCAAGTCATCATTTAACCTAATTGAAGAGTTAATACTTCCTACATTCTTTACCTTCAACTTATTTATTTCTGGCCCTGAGTATTTCAGATGTGCTAAGTGCTGCCCTGAGAACTCCGTACTCACAACGTTCCTTTGCCCTTTCTTAATCCTCCAATGACATTACCAGTGAGGTTCTGTTATTAAATCCATTCCATAGTCCCAAGAGACTGAGGTTTAAAGAAATGAAGCAACCTGCCTGAGGTTGCTGAAGACTTTACCTGAATCCAGGTGATCCAGGTGCCAGGGGTCGGTGGCGGACGACATGGGGGAGAGGGTCAGCGGCGAGGCCCCGCAGTTGGACTCCACCAGCTCGCCCTGGATGTGGACGTGAGCCGAGGCGTTTGTCTGCCTCAAGGCGGCCTTGAGAGGGGCGATCTGGTTGAACTGGACTCTGGAGAGGCAACCAGTGAATCCTGGGGTGTTGTATTTGTGAATCTCTTGGTCAATTTTCCCTGTTTCTAAAAGAAAAAAAGAAATGAAAATGTTACTTGACTCACCATAGTCCAGCTGTACAACATACCTGTCTTTGAATGCTTGTGTCCAAAGCTTACATTTAGGTTTCAGTTTAAGATGTTACATTGTTTTGGATGAAATATTAATGGGTCGATAAGATTTAGGGCTGCATACTTGACTTTAAAGGAACCTTGTGTTAACAGAAAATACGGTAGGGTGAAAATAAGACTATATGTGATAAAATACATTTCTCAGTACCTTCTGGCTACTTCAGACGCTGCCGAAACTCACAACAGTGACTTGGTTCTGATTGATTTTTCTCCTTATCTTTTCTGATGCTTCCCTGACCCTCTTAACAAATTGAACAAAGCAGCCCTGCTCTGCCCTCCTGGCAAAATATGGTTCTGTTTTAGATCTCTTACTTATTTTCTTCTTCAGAATTCTTTAAAAAAAAAAAAAAAAAAAGAACAAGAATTCTAGTAGCCTGTACGTGAACATCTCCTTTCTTCAAAATCCAATCCCCTTGGAATTCTGAGATTTACAGAATCCCCGGCTAGTGTCTGATGGAGGTTTTGGCAGTCAGGAAACTTTCCCAACCCAATCAATCACAAACAACACATGCCTTGGTGAATCTCACCATCTCCCCACTACCTGTAGGCTCAACATCTTCCCAAACTAACTCAGCTCAGAGGTGAGACTGAGTAGAGGCATTTCCAAGGTAACAAGTGCAATGTACCCACACGTTGTTATACCAGTTAAATCAATGGCCCTCTGTTCCAAGTTTTAGAAACTAACAGAAACAAATGTTGAAAGAGTCCTTAAATGCTTAAGAGCCCTTAGCTAGTGGGCCAGGCGGACTGACCTCAGAGCCTTTTAACCACTACTGGGAACTGTGTGAGAAAGATAATTCCAGCGGCAGCACTGCGATTGCTCTGAGCAAGTGCCGCATCAACCCCTCATGTCCCTGCCGACTCCCTGGGCTCACACAAAGATTCTTTTGCCCCGGCGCTGAGGCAGGGTGCTGTGGGGGACATGGATAAAGTGCCTTGTTCTTCTCCAGCATCTCTCTACGCTTGCTTGCCCTTTGCTGAAGCCGTTCTGTTATCTATTGTGAACCAGTGTTAGTTTTGTCTCCTCTTTTAGAGCTGGGTAGAAAACTTGTGACTCCCGCTCCATTTCATAGGGTCCCTGACAGTTTTCGCAACTTTGAGGAGGGCAGGTTTCCCTATGACACCACAGAAAATCAATTGTTTCAAAGCCGTATCTGTCTGCGGGGTCTCAATTTAACATGGAGTCTACACTTCTTAAAGAGCTGTCTTCCCCTTGGTATCTCCTTCTGAGGTGGCCTCAAGGGAGAGAGCCTGGGGCACGGGGTTCCGATGGTGGAACAGGGAGAGAAACCACGGGTGGCAGCAGAGGCTCCCGGGCCCAGGCCTGTGGGGCTGTGAGCATTGGCAGAAGCGTCCACTGAGCAGCCAGAAGCTGGGGCTGGATGGCAGGAATGAGCCCTGGCAAATGGCCTGCTCTCACTTTTCCATTCTCTTTGGGCCTCTTTCACTCTCTTCTTTAGCTTTCTCCTTTCTGTGCCTTCTCCCTATTGGGGAAAATTCCCAGTGTTTCAACTGTTGTTTCTTTCCTGTAAGGCAGCAGGGTCACAAAAAGGAGGATTCTGATGCCCTGGAGAACAGAACCAGTACTTCCAAAACCGGAGTGTGTTCCACATCTAGTTGATGTGCCTCTTTCCTAGAGACCCTTGGCTGGGACCAATTCCCCTGGGGGGGGGCCAATGTGCAGTAAGTAGATGCTCTGGAGTTTGCAGGACCTGATGGTTCCAACTCAGGGCCATGTGATAATAATATTGATACAATGGTAGAGAAAGGTGGCAGAGAAAATCTAGGCAGAAAGGGGCGGGTCCCTGTCAAACCCTCACCCTCAAGCCAGAAACTGCAGCCCAAAGTGAGAACTTACATCCCTGTTTTCCAGCTCAAATGTTGCCTTTTCCAAAACCACCCATGGGCCTGCCCCCTGACATCCTGTGCCTATAAAAACCCCATACTCAGCTGGCAGAGAGAAGAGAAGCAGCTGGACGTTGGTGACTATGGTTAGACATTGGAGAGAAGCAGCTTCACTTCAGAGGGACAGCTTGACACGTAACATCAGAGAAGAATCTGGCCAGAGATGGCTGGACTTCAGGAGAAGATTACCTTCCCTCTCCATCCCCTTTTCAACTTCCCTTCCTGCTGAGAGCCACTTTCATCGGCAATAAAAATCCCCTACATTTGTCATCCTTCAATTTGTGTGATGTCATTTCTCCTGGATGTGGGACAAGAGCTCGGATGCTGCTAGTGTGGCTACAAAAGGCTGTCACACTTGCCCTTTGTACTCACTGGCAGAAGGCAGCCAGCTTACGTGAAAAGCCACTGAGCTGTTGATACTTAGGCTGTCTGGGGACAGCAGAACTAAAAGCACTGTAACATGCCCTCTGGGGCTTCAGGGGTTGCAGGCACCACCCCTAGATGCTGCCACGGAGCCTGCACAGAGTTCACTCCTGTTGGCGCTCAAAAGCGCTCACCCTGGCTCCTGCACCCACTCACCCGCGTGCTTACCCCTGCAAGGGGTGGAGCACAGTGGGTCCAAGTGAGTGGCGTTTGCTCCTGGCAGTACCTAAGTGGCTGGCTGGTTTCAGCATTCATGCACTCCAGTTCCTGCCTCATTCACATGCGTGCTTCCTCCCATGAGGAGTTGAAAGCTGTGGGCTGGGTAATTGAGGGCACCCCTGTTGCAAGTCCCACAAAGCGGTCAGGGAAGCATCCTGCTTCAATATTAGAGCACAGACCAAGGGCAGTACATGATGGGGGGCACTGTGCTTAGTACTTATTATGCAGTATCCCATTAAGTCTCCTGGTAACCCTCTGAGCTAAATAGGATTACCCGCCAAGTGACAGATGAGGGAAACGAGGCTTAGAGAAGTTAAGGCTTTGCCAATGAATAAACATTTATGTTTCATATAAAAAAAAAAGAAGTCAAATATTTTGCATCAGTCTCAATTTCTCTTTGAAAAATAGACTATATTGTTTTATATTCATGTAGACTTTTGATATTTCTAGTCAGGGACCCCATAGAAACGGTAGAGTGAGGTTTTCAGAAAAAATGTAAATGGTTGTTAAAACTGCTTTGAGATTGTGTTTCATTAGCGGCTGAGCCAACAATTTGATTTTCAAAAATGTGGTGAACTGATGTCAAATCTTCATTAGCATCATTGATAGCACCACAAAGTTATAGAAATGCCTGTCTGGAATAAGATTCCATATTTCTTAAGAACATCTACAAATGACAGTATAGCTATCACTTTTTTGAATTTATTACAAGTAAAGTATGTTACTCTATAATTGATTAGACTGGTCTCTACTGAAACCAAATATTAAAATATCATTTACTGTAAGAAACAACGTTCTGCCTGGAGGTGTCTTGGGTAAGGTGTTATTTGTGGGGGAAACTTGCTTTAAAAATGCAAATTTTAGAAATGCAGTACAATCACTTTAAAATGAGATTCTCAAGTGGCAATCAGTACGTTAATGTCTTATATTCATAACGATATGGATTACAGAAAATAGTTCACTTAAAACACTGACACAATTCCGGGTAATACGTTAAAATGAAATGCTCATGACAGTCCTTTTAAGGAAATGCAGCAACTCCATTTGCGATGCATTAGCATGCTTTCCCGCTCCTTGTTCAGTTACTGAATGCCAAGTGAGAGGCGGGAGTGTTGTGAGAAATGAAAGAGAAAAGGGCACCTGAGCAGGAAACACTGGGAGAATAAAGCCAGCTCCACGGAGGACAGAGCTGTGCTTGGGGCCTCGTGTACATGCTTGAGCTCCTTTTCAGCGATTGGATAAGCATTTATTTATTTGGACAGGGATTTATTTATTTATTATTTATGAGACAGGGTCTTACTCTGTCATCCAGGCTGGAGTGCAAGGCACAATCTCAGCTCACTGCAGCCTCAACCTCCCGGGCTCAAGCAATCCTCCCACCTCAGCCTCTTTGAGTAGCTGGAACCACACTCGTGTGCTACCATGCCCGACTAATTTTTTTTTTTAGTATTTTTTTGTAGAGGCGGGGTTTTGTTATGTTACCCAGGTTGGTCCCAAACAACTAGGCTCAAGCGATCCACCCACCTCGGCCTCCCAGAGTGCTGGGATTATAGGCATGAGCCACTGTGCCCAGCCTGGATAAGCATTTAGATGTGACTTCTCAAAGGAGATTTCTTCTTTTCCTTTGAGATTATTTAAATGCACCTATATCTTCTTCTTGTGTATTCCATGGGATCTATTCACCAGATGATTTTTGTTAGGTTTTATATCTTATAGTTTTCTATCAATGTTCCTTTTTGGGGAGGGCGATGTGATATTATGAGATACAAAGAATCACTGTCAACTTCATTTTCTACTTTTTATGAAACAGGCAGAAGATTTTAGGGCATCAGTGAGACTTAATTTAAGACTTTTGATAAGTATGTACTGTGTGCTCCCCAGTGTGCTAGGGATTGTGGAAGTCACCCTTCATAGAATCTGTGGGGTCAACACAGATGGCCAAACCTGGTTCCAGCCCTGACACAGCATATGGTTGCTCTGCAGAGACTGTAGTACAACTGGCCCCAAAGCACTGCCTACCATTCTGTTCCTTCCCTCTGTTCTGGGGTGAAGTATGTCGCACTGGTGGCACTGGGGGTCTTTAGGTAATTCACAGACTGGGAGCTAAATAACATCCAGTCTTATTCCTTCCCCGATTCCCTTTCAATTTCTCAGAGTCTCAGGCCGGCTCAGTGTGGGGCTGGACTATCTTTATTATGGTGCCAATACTTGCTATTTTCCCTTTTTAACAAAGAGAGGTCAGACCTCAGACCTGGATGCTTCGGTGGGCAACAGTGCTGAGTTTCATTATATTTTTATATTACGTATTTTTAGCACCACCGTATCGTGACAGCAAGCGGTACTGGCATTTCATTTCATGGTAGTATTGCAAAATTTCTCTTTAACATAAACTTTTTAACATAAATTTATTTAAGTAAAAATAGTGAGTCCATTTAAAGGAAAATGTTAAGTAAACAACAGTAAAGGAGGCCACTAGAAATGGTAAAAATGTCATCAGAAATGGCAAAAATCGTGACATTGGTCCTCAAATGACTCTTGTTTGGGGAACATTGTTGTGGAGGAGTTTGACGTCTCTCTAAGTCCCTGGATGTTCTGCCTTAGAGCCTCTGTACTATTCAGGTGTAATCCACCCTCTCCCCTCACACTTAGTACCAGTCACTATCCATCACTTTAGAACACCAGAGACCCCCGCTGAGTGGGGCTTCCTCCTGGATTCTGCTCCCGGCTCTACCTAACTGGACCAGGTGTGTTCCTGCTCTCTTCGGATGGGCCAGAGGCCCGCAACTGTGCCTTTCCTAGAATTAAAGTTTTCTTGACAGCTGGGACTAAATGTCACTTCTCTTTGTGTTCCCCCAAAATAATGCCTTGGACAAAGTAATCACCAGTGACTGTAGGAATGAATATACAGATGCTTTTCAACGTATAATGGGGTTACCTCCCCATACACCCATCGTAAGGTGGGAATATTGTAAATCAAAAATGCATTAAATACACGTAACCTACTGAACATCATAGCATAGCCCAGCCTACCTTAAACATACTCAGAACACTTACATTAGTCTACAGTTCAGTAAAGTCATCTAACACACCTATTTTATAATAAAGTGTTGAAAGTGGAAAACAGAATGGTTGTATGGGTATTCAAAGTACGGTTTCTACTGAACGCATATCACTTTTGAACCATGGTAAAGTTGAAAACTTCTAAGTGGAACCATAAGTCAGGGACGGTCTATGACTGAAACCATCTATTCAGCAGTCTGTCATTCATAGTTTGGTGTGTGGGAGGGGATCAAGTACTATGGAAATTAGAACAATCATAGTTAGCTATAGTCAAAGTTTGTTTTTCAGCTTCATAGTGTAAACAGGTGCAGAACATAACCAGGAAAGAGGAGGGGGAGGTCTTCAGCGTATTCAGGAATTCAGCAGTGTATTCAGAACCAGTAGATCATTATATGTTATTTCTAGCAGTACTATTACCTGAAAATCTGTCCGTCTCATTAAAAATGGATTTGTCTTTCAAAACGTTGTTGTATTGCTCTAAAACTGACACCCAGAGGAACTGATAAATTTCTCTTCTATGAAGGAAGGCAGGACTTAACACTGAACACTCATTGCTGTATAAACCCTCCACAGGCCTCACACGTAGAACAGTGGTTCGACGGTACCTTGTGGAATAAGTAGAAAGTCGGTTTGAAATCACTGCCTGGGTGGTTTTAAATACTCCTTGGAAAATCAGACTGAAGTACAACAGGTGAGTGGTCACCTGATGTACACTTGAAAACATGGCCAGGCACTGCTGGGCCAGCACCTGAAGCTCCCAGTGGCTCCCAGTGTCAGGGCTGGTCATCTGGGCCTCTTGGAGAGAGAGAAATAGAATTTGCATTGATCGGGTAGGATTCCGTTTTTCCATTCTAGTCCCATTTGGCCGTAGGTGAATGAACGGGAGTCTAAATGGTTAGTGGAATAAATCAATGGGAAGTAACCATAACAACAACAAAAAGCCAAGAGCATTCATCTAAAAAAAGCAACATAAAATCCGATAAGCCTCATTCCTCAGTTCGAACGTGATCAAATGGTAAACATCAGGCAGGGCATGGAAATGCTGGCATCTAGGTTCCCTGTCAGCTCCTGCTCTAACAGAATGCAGTTTTTGATCAGTGATGTCTTGCTCATCAGCTGCCTTTCCAAAGAGGCACAGCCAGAATTAAATCTGGATCCATAATTGATGTATACGATTAGGTACTGTGACATTTTATTCATCCCTTAAATAAAGACATGAATGAAATTTCATTGTATTTATTAGATGCTTTTCTCTCTTATGAAGAAATATGCAGGACTAAAATATGCAGGTGTAATTTAAATAGTTCTTGACCTATGAAATGCACTAACTCAATTATGCAGAGGCAGAATGCTGGGAGAAGCAGAATCATTTTTCCTTCTAGTGTCTCTACCACATTTTGAATTTTAATTATTTTTAGAGACAGGGTCTCACTGTCAGCCAGGCAGGAATGCAGCGGTGTGATCATAGGCCTCGCTGTACCCTTGAACCCCTGGGCTCAAGTGATCCTTTCACCTTAGCCTCCTAAGTACCTGGGACTACAGGCGCACACCACCATGACTGGCTTGTTTTTAAAAATTTTCTGTAGATACAGGGTCTCATTATGTTGCCCAGGCTGGTCTCGAACTCCTGGCTTCAAGCAATCCTATCCCCCTCAGCCTCCCAAAGTGCTGGCGTTATAGATGGGAGCCACTGCACCTGGCCTCTGCTGCATTTTAACTCATAAATCTTTTTCTAAGGACTGATAACACAAAACTGGATTTTTTCTTTCCAGAGTCAACAATAAAAAGAAATGTCTTCATAGAGCCCACTGCACTATTTTGCAAAAAGATGAAGTATTACATTTTTATTTGTATCAATTTATCACAGCTCCTGAGCTTTTGGGGATACTAAATAGGTTGAAATTGTCACTCACGTTTCTTTTTTTCTTTTTTTTTTTGAGATGGAGTCTTGCTCTGTTACCCAGGCTGGAGTGCAGTGGCGCAATCTCGGCTCACTGCAACCTCCACCTCCCAGGTTCAAGCAATTCTCTGCATCAGCCTCCCGAATAGCTGAGATTACAGGCGCCCGCCACCATGTCTGGCTAATTTTTTTTTTTTTGTATTTTTAGTAGAGAGGGGGTTTCACCATCTTGGCCAGGTTGGTCTTGAACTCCTGACCTCGTGATCCACCTGCCTCGGCCTCCCAAAGTGTTGGGCCTGGTGTCATTCGCATTTCTAAAATCTAGACTGAAAACAAAAAACTTATGATTGCTAGTTAATCTTAGAATATAGTTGTAATGGCCGGGCATGGTGGCTTACGCCTGTAATCCCAGCACTTTGGGAGGCCGAGGCAGGTGGATCACGAGGTCAGGAGTTTGAGACCAGCCTGGCCAACATGGTGAAACCCCATCTCTACTAAAGATACAAAAAATTAGCTGGGCGTGGTGGTGGACGCCTGTAATCCCAGCTACTCGGGAGGCTGAGGCAAGAGAATCACTTGAACCTGGGAGGCAGAGGTTGCAGTGAGCCGAGATCACGGCATTGCGCTCAAGCCTGGGAAACAGGGCAAGACTCTGTCTCAAAAAAAATTGTATATATATAATATACTATATATATATAAAAATATATATATTTATATTTTATATTTATAGTTTATATATTTATATAGTTGTATATATACATATATGTAACTATATATAGTTTTATATATAGTATAACATACATATATACATAACTATACATATATAGTTGTAATTACACAGTACCAAAAACATTGACACAAAAGAGAATTTATGATCCCTTAAATGTTTCCCAAACACCAGACATTTGGAATGGGTAGGAGCACACATCTGATATGTGGATTTTCCACTTCTTTCCTGGATGTTTCAAGTTGTCAGATGTAAGATAGAAAGCCTGGAAGGTGCTGGTGCCCCATTCCTCAGCCTCAGGTGCCCTGTCACATGGCATGATTTTTTAGGGCTAAGAATAACAAGCTCTGCTGAAAGTAACAAGACCTTTCAGAATAATGGATGTACCTGTCACTCAAACCACAGAGCTGGGTGCTATGATTTACTTCATGGGAAATCAGGTCTGATTTGACTTCTTCGAATCCCAGTAAATTGAAGCTATATGTCCTGGCTATTTGCTGCTGGGAAACAGAACACTAATGTGCGTCCTGAGTTTCTCATGAGCTGGGAATGAACAGACCTGCTTCTTACTCATTGGAATGTTTCCACTTTTGCATTTTATCTTGATAGCAGCAGAAATAGAATCCTGTGTACGAAATTACCAACTGAAATGTAGTACAGAAAAATAATTTATCTCTGTGTGTGCTCCGCTTCTGCTAAAATGTTTTTTTGGCTTTGGAGAACCACGTTAAACTCTAGCCAACACCATACAAAAAAATGAGCTTCAGTTTTCAAGCTTTTCCTTAATTCCTCTCCAAGCCACTGGTAGGTATGCCGGCCAAGACTAGCAGAGGGTCATTTGAAACTAACTCTGGACAGCAGGAGAATTTGCGACAATGGGGAAAAAAGGGTAGAAAGGTGTTGACCTCATACATTTCACAAGCAGCATAACAAAGTGTAGGCTAGGAAAAGTGTGTTAGCAAATTTTTGTATTTCCAGATAATGTCAAGTTGAATGATTCAGTAAAACAGAAAGTAGTTCACTTTTTATTTTTCTTCCTTTGTTCTCAGTTGTATTATAATTCCTATCCCAGAAGGCCTCTAAAGCTATCTTACCCAAGAGAAGAAAAAAAAATCCTTTGAGGACTAAGATCGCATGAATGCATAAACATCACGAAATGGACCTGAGGTAGGGATTGAAAGCGATGGTTTCCCCAGGGCCATGAGCCAGTCAAGCACACGAAGAAACTGAGAGGGAGAACTGTTTCTGGAAAGTGTATTGGATGGTTCCCTTAACTGACGCTCCATGTCACATAATTAACACAAGAAAAAATTAGAATCTCGGGACCTTGCCATATAAAATGATGTTCAGAAAACAGAGCCTAATGCTTTGAGGCTGAACTTGAAGCTCCAGTGGATCATCACAAAATTTAAACCATACGATCGCAACCACCCTGGATGCCACCAAGGGACACAGTCCGGAGACCCACTGGGAGGCCTTTGGATACTTCTTCCTGTCAACACCTATTCTCACTGCTGAACCCCTAAAGCCAGTTCCTTTATTTTCAGATTGGGGTAATAGCCTCCTAGGTGGGAGAGCACTGAGAGAGGCCATCTAAATTTCAGCAAAGCATTTTAGTAAGTTTCTCATGACATTTTTGTGGTCAAGACAAATAGATATGGTCTCATTGTAATATGTTTGAGTAGTACAGTCAGGCACCACATAATGATGCTTTGGTCAAGGATGAACCACATGTAGGAGGGTGGTCCCAGGAGATTATAATGGAGCTGAAATTTTTCTATTGCCTGGCATTTATCATAATGTGCTTTTTATCATTATTTTAGAGTATACTTCTTTTTTGTTGTTGTTGTTTTTTGAGACTGAGTCTCGCTCTGTCGTCCAGGCTGGAGTGCAGTGGCACAATCTGAGCTACCACAACTTCCACCTACTGGGTTCAAGCGATTCTTGTGCCTCAGCCTCCCAAGTAGCTGGGATTATAGGCACCCGCCACCACACCTGGCTAATTTTTGTATTTTTAGTAGAGACGGGGTTTCACCACGTTGGCCAGGCTGGTCTCGAACTCCTGACCTCATGATCTGCTTGCCTCAGCCTCCCAAAGTCCTGGGATTACAGGTGTGAGCCACTGCACCTGGCCTACTTTTTTTTTATTTTTTATTTTTAAAAAGGGTAATTGTACAACAGCCTCAGGCAGGTCCTTCAGGAGCTATTCCAGAAGAAGGCATTGTTATCACAGGAGATGACAGCTCCATGTGTGTCACTGCCCCTGAAGACCTCCCAGTGTGACAAGGTGTGCAGGTGGAAGACAGTGGTATTGATGATCCTCACCCTGTGGAGGCCAAAGCAAATGTGTGCATTTGTGTCCTAGTTTTCAATAAAAAAGTCTTAAAAGTTAAAAACAAATTTTTAAATAGCAAAATCTTATAGAATACGCATATAAAAAGAAATATTTTTTACAGCTGTATAATGTGTTTGTGTTTTAATCTAAGTGTTAGACAAAAATATGAAAAAGTGAAAAAGTTTGAAAACATTAAGAAGTCTATAAAGTTAGAAAAGGTACAGTATGCTAAGGTTAATTTATTTTATTTATTTATTTATTTTGAGATGGAGTCTTCCTCTGCTGACCAGGATGGAGTGCATGCAGTGGCACAATCTCGGCTCACGGTAACCTCTGCCTCCTGGGTTCAAGCAATTCTCCTGCCTCAGCCTCCCGAGTAGCTGGGATTACAGGCATATGCCACCACACCAGGCTAATTTTTGTATTTTTAGTAGAGACGGGGTTTCACCATGTTGATCAGGCTGGTTTTTAACTCCTGACCTCAAGTGGTCTACCCTCCTCTGCCTCCCAAAGTGCTGGGATTACAGACATGAACCACTGCACCCAGCTGGTTAATTTATTATTAAAGAAAGAAAATTGTAAAAGGTAAATTTAATGTGGCCAAAGTGTCCAGTGCTTATAAAATCTACAGTAGTATAATGTCCTAGGCCTTCATATTCACTTACCACCCACTCACTCATCCAGAGCAACTTCCAGTCCTGCCAAGCTTCATTCCTGTTAGGTGTCCTATATAGGGGTACCAATTTTTACTTTTATTTTTTATTTATTTTTTTTGAGACGGAGTCTTGTTCTGTCCCCAGGCTGGAGTGCAGTGGTGTGATATTGACTCACTGCAACCTCCAACTCCCAGGTTCACGCGATGCTCCTGCCTCAGCCTCCCGAGTAGCTGGGACTACAGGCACACACCACCACACCCAGCTAATTTTTTTTGTATTTTTACTAGAGACGGGGTTTCACCATGCTGGCCAGGCTGGTCTCGATCTCCTGACCTTGTGATCCGCCTGCCTCGGCCTCCCAAAGTGCCGGGATTACAGGCATGAGCCACCACGCCCAGCCAATTTTTATCTTTTATATCATATTTTTACCATACTTTGTCTATGTTTAGTGAACAAATACCGTTGTGTTACCGTTGCCTACAGTATTGAGTGCAGTGGCGTGCTGCACATGTCTGCAGCCTGGGAGCAATGGGCTGTAGCACAGAGCCTGGGTGTGTAGAAGGCTGCACCTTCTGGGTTTGTGTAAGTGCACTCTGTGGTATTCGCATAATGATGAAATTGCTTAATGACACTCTTCTCAGAACGTATCCCTGTCGTTCAGTGATGCATGAGAGTATTTTAAAGGTAGATTAATCATGAGATGAACAGTGGTGGAATTTGATAAATAGGTAGAAATTGGCTTCAAGGAGAATTTTAGTGGTGATTCCAAGCCTACATTTAATCATTTTATTAACTTGGATAAAGACATCAATGGCACATTGATGAATGTGCCATATGGCATTTAGTAAAAAGGGATGGCTCCACTCAAGAGGACATTATCGTGAGCCAAAGGGACTCCGAGAGGCTGAAATGATTTCCCTAGATATAACTAAATACAGTTTAGCAGAAACGAATAACCAATTTCTATATTTGGAAATGCCATCGTGCCTTCCCCCACCCCAATCACCTTCAATACCAAATTGTATAGGACACACCTGGTAACTGCACGTAGCCTCCTCTCCCCCTCCTTTGTTGGGACAATGGGGCTGATAGAAGAAAACTGGATTTTTTTTTCCAGTTTTGTTTTCCAGCAACCCCTCAGGACTCTGGTATTTTTGTTAATTATTTGGGATTTAGGAATTAAGAGTGAGACCTGACTGAGTCATGAAAAGGATGGAGTCTATATTCCAATTTAGAAAGTGGTTTCTGAGACCATCCCCTGGGGTGGTCAGCATACCCCAGAGAGGTGATCAGTTCTGGACAGAGCATCTTGAGCAGGAAAGCAATAATAAACCGGGGTGTGTTTTGAGGATGGCACCATGCTTGAGACGGTGTCATGTGAAGCAGACTGGAAGGAACTGTGGATGCTGAATGTGGGGAAGAGAAGACTCTAGAAGCACACCGTCACTGCCTTCAGGTGTTGGAAAGGCCGGCACCAGGGAGAAGGCTGAGACTTGTTCTGTGGGGCATTAATGGAAGGATGCTCAACTGGATCTTATACTGAAAGCAAATATGAGATCAAGTCTGCCAGGGTAGGTGTGGAGAAAGTGGCCCTGTAAGCCAAGGGGCTATTGAGTTCAATCCTGGATGTCATTCCAGCTGGTGGGGTGCGGTGGAAACACCAGGGAAGGGCAGGGGTAGGGGGGGACCAGCCATGCAGGGGAGAAGGCAAGTCCTCAGACCCCTGTTCTGTGTGGCACTGTGCGGAAGAGGGGAAGGCTGCCTCACTTCACCCTGTGTGCCAGTCCTTTATCTAACTAAATCTCCACAGAAAATCCACAAGATGGGGTTGAATGACCTTTTGTTATCCAGAAAAGAAACAGCCTGAGGAGTAAAGTCACCTGACTGAGGTCACTCTGCTAGAAGGTGGGGCAGGGATTCAGCCCCCGGTGCTGTCCCTGACTCTCTTTCTGCGTGGAGGGATTCAGGCTCAGCCTCCAGGAACCGGAGACCAGAGCTCCCTATCTGGGACCCAGCCACTGAGACGTCAGGTCACAAAGATGGATAGAACCAGAGGCACTGGGGAGCCGGAGAGCTTTGGAAATGGGCATCTTTATGTCCTTCTGCCTCAGTCTAGAGCTGAGATTTGTGAAAGGGCCAAATCAGGGGTAGGAAGAGGGTGCAGTGTATCCTCCGAGGTGGGAGGAGGCCGGGCCATTTGACCATATCTTTCTCTTCAGAGTTCACTGTTCCCAAAGACACATTATATGTCATCCATTTTTATATAAATGGTGAGTTCCCAAATGGGATTTAAAGACAGCCTAGCAAATCTTTACATCCCTTGGAACTTAAAACAAAGCTTTTCCTTCACAGAATTCTAATCTCTCTTGAATAAGAGGCTACGAAACTGAGGGACATTATAATAACCTTCATTTAAAATTAGATTCTGGATGTTCTGGTGACTTAGCTGAAAACAGCTCAAATCAGCGAAAACCTTTACAAAGACTTTTCGAAAGTTGGAAGACATATCTGTACACACAGGGCGTAGAGCCGGACTTGGCCAGTATGTGCCTTCTGCCTCCTCCTGGCAATGCTTACCCCTTATTACTGTTATTTCTGAGACGTGAATGTTTTCTCATAGTGAATGTAGCAGTAATAGTAATAATAATAATAATAATAATAATAATAATAATAATGATAAAGAACAGCAACATTTCTCACAAACCCATTTCCTGAGTATTAGCAGATTTGCTACTGGGCCTTGGTTCCCCTTAGATCTTGGCTTAAATGAATGCTTAATAATGATAACAGAGGCTGGGTGCCATGTCTTATGTTGGTAATCCCAGCACTTTGGATCACTTGAGGCCAGGAGTTCGAGACCATCCTGGCCAACATGGCGAAACCCTGTCTCTACTAACAATGCAAAAATTAGCCAGGTGTAGTGGCACAAATTAGCCGGGTGTAGTGGCACAAATTAGCCAGGTGTAGTGGCACACCCCTGTAATTCCAGCTACTTGGGAGGTTGGGGCATGAGAATGGCTTGAACCTGGGAGGCGGAGGTTGCAGTGAGCCAAGATCACAGCACTGCGTTCCAGCCTGGGCAATAGAGGCACTCTGTCACAAAAGACAAAAAAAAAAAAAAAAAAAAAAAAAAAAAAGGGATTCAATTTTAATTAAAAAAAATATAAAAATATAATGGTAACAGCTAAAGATTCTTGGGGTTATTACCATGTATTAGATGTATGCTTAGCATTTGAAACACAATGTCTTATTAATGTTTGTGAGAGAAGAGAGACAGACCCTCTCATATTGTTTTATATTGTTCTATAATCAGAAAAGGAAAGAGAAGCGAAACTAAAGGCAGGTAGCCCAGTGCCTAGGAACCAGACCCGAAACCAGGCCTGGGCCCGCCTGACCTAAGCCTGGTAGTTAAAATTCGACCCCTGACCTAGCAACTGATGTTATCTATAGACTCCAGACATTGTATAGAAAGACACTGTGAAACTTCCTGGTCTGTTCTGTCTCAGTCTGACCACCGGTGCATGCAGCCCCTGTCACATACCCCCTGCTTGCTCAATAGATCACGACCCTCTCACACGGAACCCCCTTAGAGTTGTGAGCCCTTAAAAGGGACAGGAATTGCTCACTCGGGTAGCTTGGCTCTTGAGACAGGAGTCTTGCCGATGCTCCCGGCTGAATAAACCTCTTCCTTCTTTAACTTGGTGTCTGAGTTTTGTCTGCAATTCGTCCTGCTACATCTGCAGCACCTTGCTATGGCTGGTACAATTTTGGACCCATTCTGATTGTCGCTCACTGTAGTGAAGTAACTTGCCCAGAATCACATGAGCTAGGAAGTGCCAGTGCATAAAACCAGGAAATTTGCCCCCAAAACTCATGCTCTTAACCATCACTCTACCAGTTAAGACATTATCCAGATGCCTGGAGACCAGGGGAGGCCTCAGCTGGGAGCTACTTCTAGAAAGTTAAGAACTGCCTGGGGCTCTGCAGAACTCTCCCTGCATTTGCAGATTATACTTAATACCTAACTCAGTTGTAGCCGCCAGCAACCCCCACCCCTCAACTTGCAGATAATCCACTTTAACTGAAGATGTGTCCCCCTGCGAATTGGTAATTACTCCTTGTGGCACTGTCAGAGCTATTCAAAGGATAAGAGACAAGGAAGAACAAAGCTAATCTGAGCCAGGCACTGAAGCTGCAGTCGTCTCTTAGACACCTAAAGGGAGTGACTTCCATGGCTCAGATGTGGTGTAGAGGGCTGTTGATTTTCATTTTACTTTTAACAAAAGATGAGGGGCTCTATCTGAAATGTTTGCTTGGGGGATCTTAATTTTCAGCTCTGACAATGCTCGCTGTGTGCTTATTTTCTCAGCTGGGCACATTCTCTAGTCCTATCATTACCGTGACTCTTTTAACTGTCTGTACATGTTGAGGGGACTTCCATCTACACTTCAGGAGGTGCAAATTACAGTGGCTGTGGCACCTCGAAGAAAATACATTTTCTCGGTATGAGCAGTCATTTTCTCTTGGTGACATGTTGCGTACTTTGTTTCAGAACAGATGAGAGCTTAAAATATTTTATGGGGCGATCGCATTAATCTCGCCTCTAAAATATGTTATCATGACTCTTAGGCATCTTGGGGGAAATGAATCTGCCTAGAAAATATGGTTTTCTGGATAACAAGAGATCTAGTTCTTTTGGCATGAGCCCATTTCAGTATTTCCAGCTGAATATCTGTCTAGAATGCTTTTTTAAGGCAAAGCAGACGCCAAATCAGGGTCATGTGATGACTTTCACAGGCCCTAGGCACTTTTGCTTTCAAGGTTTTCTTCCTCCATTAAAAAAAAATCAAAAGTAATATTTTAGGACTGTGTTGGTATAAAGATGAATATAATGATATTATGTATTAACATATTATATATTAGAACATTTTTCCTTTGACTTAACAGTTCATTTTTTTCTTCTGATTTTAAATGTTATTAGAACACTTTTGTGGGTCCCTGGAAGTACTGTGGGCCTACTGAACCCCATGGATATGTTGGCCCCTGCCAAACATATGTGATGGTTTTTCTTTTCTTTTATTTTTTTTTTGAGACAGAGTCTTGTTCTGTCACCAGGCTGGAGTGCAGTGGCTTCATCTTGGCTCACTGCAATCTCTGCTTCCCAGGTTCAATCGATTCTCCTGCCTCAGCCTCCTGAGTAGCTGGGACTACAGGCATGCACCACCGCGCCCAGCTAATTTTTGTATTTTTAGTAGAGACAGGGCTTCACCATGTTGGCCAGAGTGGTCTCAATCTCTTCACCTCGTGATCCGCCTTCCTGGGCCTCCCAAAGTGTTGGGACTACAGGCGTGAGCCACCGCGCACAGCTGTGATGGTTTTTCTTAATGGCTTGAAGCTTGGCTGGGAATATTGTTTTGCCATGCTATGGAGACAGCTGGAAGTAGCCCTGGATTTGCATTTTTGAAGAAGGGCCTGAAGTTGCCTTTTTTTTTTGGGGTCATTTTCCTCTGTCTTAGACAGGTGGTGAAAACTCTGCTACTGACTCTACAGCATGGTTGCCTTTCTGCAAAAGTATCTGGAAATCACAAACTGCATGATGGCCTCTTACTCCTGGAAATCATCTTTGTTATCTCTACCAGCATTCTTTAATTTGTGAGCAATTTTAAAAGTAAAATAGTTATTGTCTTCAAAAGATTCTATTTCTTTAGCCGTGATGCTATCTGCCATTCGTATAAGTTCTTTTCAACATGTGGTCTTGGGCAAGGATCCATGGAAAAATTGTGGACTTAATTTTATAGAAAGAGTGAAATAAAAGTCTTACACAGATCAACTTTGTTATGGAATCCCATTCATTTATCACCCACACAAGGAATTATTGAGTATCTATTGTATGCCAGGTGGTGAGGATTCAATAGTGAAAAAGAGTTTCTACCTTCAAGGACTACATAATTTAATCAATATTGCTAATTCTGACATTATGCTTGACAGATATGTATACATAATGTATACATACATACATATATACATGTACACATACATATATACATGTACACATATACACACATATATACATGCATACACATATACACCTATATACATGCATACACATGTACACCTATATACATGCATACACATACATGTATACATGCACACACATACATGCATACATGCATACACATACATGCATACATGCATACACATACATGCATACATGCATACACATACATGTATACATGCACACACATACATGCATACATGCATACACACACATGCATACATGCATACACACACATGCATACATGCATACACACATGCATACATGCATACACACATGTATACATGCATACACACATGTATACATGCATACACGCATGTATACATGCATACACGCATGTATACATGCATACACGCATGTATACATGCATACACATACATGTATACATGCATACACATACATGTATACATGCATACACATGCATGTATACATGCATACACATGCATGTATACATGCATACACATGCATGTATACATGCATACACATACATGTATACACGTATACACATACATGTATACATGTATACACATACATATATACACGTATACATATATATAAAAGTATACATATATACATATATATACATCTCAAGTATATATGAGATGGAGTCTCACTCTTTTGCCCAGGCTGGAGTACAATGGTGCGATCTTGGTTCACTGCAACCTCTGCCTCCCAGGTTCAAGTGATTCTCCTGTTGCAGCCTCCTAAGTAGCTGGGATTACAGGCACATTCTACCATGCCTGGCTAATTTTTGTATTTTTAGTAGAGACGCGGTTTCATCATGTTGGCCAAGCTGGTCTCGAACTGCTGACCTCAGGGAGTCTGCCCACCTTGGTCTCCCAAAGTGCTGGGATTACAGGCATGAGCCACCACGCCCAGCCTGCTAGACAGTAATATTATTTTTTGACTGAATTAATAAGTGAAAGACAAAAAAGCTACTTTTTTCAGGATGAGCTCAAAAACTAGTTGAGCAATAAGCAAAATGTCTGTCCTTTGCTTAAAGAAAGCCTCGTGCTCTGAAATGATATTTTACCAAGAAAATAAAGCAGGAGAAGGGAGAGAGTGAGACGGGGAGATGCTACTCTAGGTAGCAGGAGCAGGGAAGGCCACTCTGAGGAGATTACATTTGAGCTCTGAGCCAGGTGAAAGTGTGTCCGGAACTGGTGGGTTCTTGGTCTCACTGACTTCAAGAATGAAGCCGCGGACCCTCGCGGTGACTGTTACAGCTCTTAAGGTGGCGCGTCTGGAGTCAGTCCCTTCTGATGTTCAGATGTGTTCGGAGTTTCTTCCTTCTGGTGGGTTCGTGGTCTTGCTGGCTGAGGAGTGAAGCTGCAGACCTTCGCGGTGAGTGTTACAGCTCATAAAAGCAGCGTGGACCCAAAGGGCGAGCAGTAGCAAGATTTATTGCAAAGAGTGAAAGAACAAAGCTTCCAAAGTGTGGAAGAGGACCCGAGCGGGTTGCCAATGCTGGCTCGGGCAGCCTGCTTTTATTCTCTTATCTGGCCCCACCCACATCCTGCTGATTGGTAGAGCCCTGTGGCCTGTTTTGTCAGGGCACTGATTGGTGCGTTTACAATCCCTGAGCTAGATACAAAGGTTCTCCACATCCCCATCAGATTAGTTAGATACAGAGTTTCCACACACAGGTTCTCCAAGGCCCCACCAGAGCAGCTAGATACAGAGTGTCGATTGGTGCATTCACAAACCTTGAGCTAAACACAGGGTGCTGATTGGTGTATTTACAAACCTTGAGCTAGATACAGAGTGCCGATTGGTGTATTTACAATCCTTGAGCTATACATAAAAGTTCTCCACGTCCTCACCAGAGCAGCTAGATACAGAGTGTCGATTGGTGCACTCACAAACCTTGAGCTAAACACAGGGTGCTGATTGATGTATTTACAAACCTTGAGCTAGATATAGAGTCCCGATTGGTGTATTTACAATCCCTGAGCTAGATATAAAGACTCTCCATGTCCCCACCAGACTCAGGAGCCCAGCTGGCTTCACCTAGTGGATCCCGCACTGGGGCTGCAGGTGGAGCTGCCCGCCAGTCCTGCACCGTGCGCTCACATTCCTCAGCCCTTGGGTGGTCGATGGGACTGGGCGCTGTGGAGCAGGGGGTGGCGCTCGTCGGGGAGGCTCGGGCCGCACAGGAGCCCATGGAGTGGGTGGGAGGCTCAGGCATGGCGGGCTGCAGGTCCCGAGCCCTGCCCCATGGGAAGGCAGCCAAGGCCCGGCGAGAAATCGAGCGCAGCGCCGGTGGGCCGGCACTGCTGGGGGACCCAGTACACCCTCCGCAGCCACTGGCCCGGGTGCTAAGTCCCCCATTGCCCGGGGCCAGCAGGGCTGGCTGGCTGCTCAGAGTGTGGGGCCCACCAAGCCCACGCCCACCCGGAACTCCAGCTGGCCCGCACGCAGCCCCAGTTCCCGCTCGTGCCTCTCCCTCCACACCTCCCTGCAAGCTGAGGGAGTGGGCTCCAGCCTTGGCCAGCCCAGAAAGGGGCTCCCACAGTGCAGTGGGGGACTGAAGGGCTCCTCAAATGCCACCAAAGTGAGAGCCCAGGCAGGGGAGGTGCCGAGAGCAAGCGAGGGCTCTGAGGACTGCCAGCACGCTGTCACCTCTCAAAAGGAACCCAAGGAAAAAAGCATTCCAGATAGAAGGAACAGTGATTGCAAAGCCCTAAGGAAACACACGTACAGAGGTTCCTCCAGCATGAAGGGGCTACATCCCAGTAAACCCATCGTACGTTTTTGAGCTCACCCTGCAAAAGCAGTCCTTTTGTCTTTCACTTATTAATTCAGCCACTAATTCAGTCAAAAAATAATATTACTGTCTTGTATATTGTCAGAATAAAAGTGCATTTAATACACTCAACTTACCAAACACACCCTACCTTAAATGTGCTCAGAACACTTACATTAGCCTACAATTGGGCAAAATCATCTAATGCAAAACCTATTTTATAATAGAATGTTGAGGCCGTGCGTGGTGGCTCACGCCTGTAATCCCGGCACTTAGGGAGGCCGAGGCAGGCGGATCACATGAGGTTGGGAGTTTGAGACCAGCCAGGCCAACATGGAGAAACCCCGTCTCTACTAAAAAAATACAAAATTAGCCAGGTGTGGTGGCACATGCCTGTGATCCCAGCTACTCGGGAGGCTGAGGCAGGAGAATCGCTTGAACCCAGGAGGTGGAGGTTGCAGTGAGCTGAGATCACACCACTGCACTCCAGCCTGGGCAACAAAAAGCGAAACTCCGTTTAAAAAAAAAATAGCATGTTGAATATCTGATGCAATCTATTGAATACTGTAGGGAAAATGAAAAGAGTGGTTGTATGGGTACTCAAAGGACGGTTTCTACTGAATGGGTATTGCTTTTGCACCATGGTAAAGTAAAAATGTTGTAAGTTGCACCATCATAAGTTGGAGACCATCTGTGTATGTATTCTGGCTTCCCTTTAAACGTTGAAACATGGGGCTGGAGTGAGAGTGGATCCTCCTTGCCAAAGCATAGACTGTTTGCTTTCAAGCTTCCTATTAGCAGCATTGAATTTGGCACACGAGTAGTAAGTCCCCCTGTTAAGAGAGCCACACTTGTCTGTTGGATGGGGCTTAGGTAGTGCTGTGCTCCCCTGCAGCCTGCACGCAGTACAGATGCAGGAAGAATGGGAGATGGCTAGCACTATGCCCTTTAATAAGCCACGGCAGAACATCCCCCAACCTCAGCACCTCAGCGCCACAAGGGTGGCCACCAGACCAGCATAGCCACCACAGCAAAGACCTGTAAGGATCCTATTACAGGTTGAGTTGTGTGCCCCAAAAAGCTATGTCAAATTACCTGTGAGTGTGACCTTTTTATGGAAAGACAGTTTTTGCAGATGTGGTTGATACTGTTTGGCTCTGTGTCCCCACCCAAATCTCACCTTGAACTGTAATCCCCACATGTCAAGGGAGGGACCTGGGGGGACGTAATTGAATCATGGGGGTGGTTTCCCCCATGCTGTTCTCGTGATAGTGAGTTCTCATGAGATCTGATGGGTTTTGTTTTTTGTTTTTTTTTTTAGATGGAGTCTCCCTCTATTGCCCAGGCTAGAGTCAATCTTAGCTCACTGCAACCTCTGCCTCCTAGGTTCAAGTGATTCTCCTACCTCAGCCTCCCAAGTAGCTGAGACTACAGGCACGCACTACCATGCCCAGCTAGTTTTTTTGTATTTTTAGTAGAGACAGGTTTCACTGTATTGGCTAGGCTGGTCTCGAACCCCTAACTTCATGATCTGCTCGCCTTGGCCTCCCAAAGTGCTGGGATTACAGGCGTGCTGGGATTACAGGCGTGAGCCACCGTGCCCGGCCGATCTGATGGTTTTATAAGCGTCTGGCATTTCCCCTGCTGGCACTCATTCTCTCTCTCCTGCCGCCCTGTGAAGAGTTGCCTTCTGCCATGATTGTATGTTTCCTGAGGACTCCCCAGCCATGCAGAACTGTGAGTCAATTAAACCTCTTTTCTTTACAAATTACCCAGTCTTGGGCATTTCTTCATAGCAGCGTGAGAACGGACTAATACAATGGTCGAGTTAAGATGAGGTCATCTTTAGTTAAGGTAAGCCCTAACCCAGTGACTGTTGTCCTTATAAAAAGAGAAGACGCAGACACACACACAGGGAGAAAGGCAGGTGGAGACACAGGCAGAGAGTAAAATTATGCTTCTACAAGCCCAGAAAAACCAAGGTCTTCCAGTAACGATCAGAAGCTGGAAGAGAAGAACAGTTCCCCCTCTGAGTCCCCAAGAGGACCCACCCCTACTGACACCCTGATTTCAGAGCTCTGGGCTCCGGAACTGTGAGAGGATAAATCTGTATTGCTGTAAGCCACCCAGTTTGTGGTACTTTGTTATGACAGCCTAGGAGATGAAGACAGACCCTGAAGACTGCGTGTAATCCCGGGCCCCTTGACACTCTGGAAAGGAGATATGAAGGCAGAGAGATTGAGTATTTGCCTCAGAGAGACTGAATTCACCTAAAAGAAACACTTTTTAAATGAGAGACTTAGTTGACTTTAAGTGCAAGCTTCAATCTCCCCTCAACCCAAACCAAGAACATAGAAATGGATGCCTCAGAACAAGATGAGACCCGATATAGAAAATTAAAACAACTCTAGGCTGGGCATGGTGGCTCATGCCTGTAATCCCAGCATTTTGAGAGGTTGAGGTGGGTGATCACCTGAGGTTAGGAGTTCAAGACCAGCCTGGTCAACATGGTGAAACCCCGTCTCTACTAAAAATACAAAAATTAGCTGGGTATGGTGGTGGGTGCCTGTAATCCCAGCTACCTGGGAGGCTGAGGCAGGAGATCACTTGAATCTGGGGGGCAGAGGTTGCAGTGAGCCAAGATCACGCCACTGCACTCCAGCCTGGGCAACAAGAGAGAAACTGTCTCAAAAAAAAAAAAGAAAAAGAAAAAAAAGAAAGAAAAGCGACTCTAACACCTTCATCTTTTTACTCATCTGAATTTAGTCCATAAATATTTTAGCCCTTTACAAATTAATAAAAATAATTTTTTCCCACAAGTACTGGAACACAGAAAGGGATCATTCTGGCTTTTTCTGGTGTCACTTCTGTAAGTTTGGGGCTCCACAGCATGCACTACCTAAATGCCTAATTAAGATCTTTATACCACTTTAAAATCTTACACTTTTAAGTTTTTAAAAGTGTTTACTTTTGAGTTTAAAAATCTTACAAAGAAGTTGATCGCACAGTTACAAGGGTTTACTGATATTCCTCACGTTCCATTTCCAATTCCGTCTCCATTTCCTATTTCAGAGTTAGCATTTTTCTGAGGTTGGTGAGGGCTGTGTTTCAAAACTTTTCATTTGGAGAAGCAATTTCCTTCGTTGCTTCACACCTGTTCTCTTTTCTTCATGCCTGTTCTCTTCACCACTCAATTGCTTGGTAACCTCTGAGTTCCTTCTTCTTCTCCTTCTTCCACTCCTTTCCCTAAAGAGTTTGCATGTCCCGAAGGTTTAATTTTAGTTGCAGAATATGTTCTTGGTCTAGGTGAGGCCTGGAATCCATGTGTTTATTTCGGAGCAGTCAGCTAGGAGTTGTTGCTTGTTGTATCATTTGTCACTGCCTTGCTGTTTAGCTTATTCTTATGCTCTAAATTAAATGTGAGCCCCCTTCCCTTTCAGTCCAGCCAACCCATGGCTGCCAATCTGCAGTTTTTGCCATGTTCTAAAGGGGTTTATGGACTCTTGTAGAAACTGCAGAAATAAAGATAACTTCTTCTCGAGATCCCCTCTGTTAGAAAATTTTATTGTATTTTTCACATCTGGAGAAAAGTCCTCAATTTGTAGGATCAAACCACAAATGGTTTAAAGTAATAATGAATCAAAAGGTATTGTGAATGCACCTGAATATCCCAAACTAAACATCTGAAACTAACGACTGTGATTTCCTATGTATCCCAGGGCAGTGAGAAATATTTTCTCCGCAGCTAGTGAAATTCAAGAACGCTTCTCTCTTTACCCTGCTGTTAAAATTTATACAGCAAAAGAGACAGTGTGAGACAATTAAAAAAATTTCCTGAAAGTTTAATAAGTTGAAACTGTCCTACTGAGTATGTTTTCTGAATGGCTTTCCAAAAGAAGACATTTTTCTTAAAGGAAGCTTGCAGAGACTCTGAAATATTCCATCTCTCTAGCAATGTAACTGGCTGCACCTTGAATTTCTAAATTCTGACAATGACCCATAGGCTAAAGGCACACATACAAAGAATGACTATGTCACACGGATGCCACTCTGGATATAAGAGCAGAATCTCCAGCTCTCCCTACAAAAAGGCAAAACAATGTCTTCAAATTTAGTATACAAAATACATCTCCGAATTGAAAAGTGTGCTTATTTATATTTAAGAAGGGAGGCTTTGCCTATATTGCAACTGTAGCAAGTACTAGTTATGTGTTGCTTAGTGATGGGGATACACTCTGTGAAATGAGTCTTGTTAGGCAACTTTGTTATTGTGGGAACGTCACAGAATGCACTTCCACAAACCTAGATGGCAGAGCCTACCACCCACTTAGGCTATATGGTAAGGTCTATGGTTCCTAGGTTACAAATCTGTAGAGCATGTTATTGTACTCAATACTGTAGGCAATTGTAACGCAATGGTAGTATTTGTGTATCTACAGGTAGTTAAACAGAAAAGGTACAGTAAAAGTAACCATATTATAATCTCATAGGACCACCACTGTACACACAGTCTGTGGTTGACTGAATCGTCCTTACACAGCACATGACTGTATTTCGGAAGAGCTAAGGAGTCCTCATGCTTTTCTCAACCTTCCTCACCAATCACACAGGAAAAAAAAGTAACTGATGTCTTAAGTGCACATTTTATGCAGGGCCCTAGGCTGAGCAATTTACATTCATTAACTTCTTTAATTTTTGTAGCTCCTCTGTGAAATAGGTGCTATTATTATCTTCTTTCTCATTTTACAGAGGAAACAGGCCTGGAGAAGTTAAATACTTTAACCCTTCTGTTACTCTGCTCCTAACTGCTTTATTCTAATGCATTCCTGATTACGCGCTTGAAAGCAGAATATCTAAAGGCTGAATAACAGATGTATTAAAAGGGAGGCCTGTTCTATTTCCAGAAAGTTAAACAAAAGCATAGGACCCCTAATTGCGGTTTCTACAGGTGCTACCTCTCTCTAGCCCAGACAACATGGTAAGTGGATGAGACCTCACCAGGCTCCCAGCGGGTGAACAGGCAGGCCAGCCATCCTCACTCACCCAAAAGCCATCCCTTCTCATGCAATCTCCACATTCTCAAATGCTCCCGTCTCCCATTTCCCTCAAGCCAGCCTCATTTCCAGTCTGAGAGTTCTTGCCATGGTCTCATGGCTGCCCGCCATCTTGCCTTCTTCCCCCCATTTCATCCTCCACCTGGCCCTCAGGGGGATGTTTCTGAAACTGCGTAGGATCCTCTCATTCTGCTTCAGTGACTATCTCTAGTAGAAAGCACAGGCGCCTCGAAATGATGAACAAGTCTCTTTGTGCTCTGACCCACCCTGCTTCTCCCAGCCCCCTGGCTGTGTGTTCCCTCAGACACTCCCTCAGCCAGTGATACGACCACCTTGAACACCCCTAGGCTGAACCAGGCACGCTCCTTTTGGCCTCTCCAGTGTAGTCAGGAGTAATAGGGCCTGCTACAGTTATATGATCACAGGTTTTTCTCCCTGACTAGATGGAAGCTTCTCAAAGAAGGTGCCATATTTTCTTGTCTTGTGTCTTCATCACATAGTGTAGGGCCTGGAACCTGGGCCCCACAGGTCAGGAGTAAATGAGCATGTGTTTTTCCTAGTTACACAACTTTGTGCTTGTTTGAATACTTGTTTTGAATTTTCTGCATACAAACATACACATGCTAACTATAAAGTAATCATTTTGATTCCATATGCATATATTAAGTCACACTTCCTATGTGTGCATACAAGAATTTAGTTGGAATCAGAAATTTTATTAGTATGCTCTATACAAAAGGCCCTGTGCTTGGCACTGTGAGGCACAGAGAAACAGTTATACTACAATACCCTGCAGGATCTCATAGTCAAGAATAAACACTGACCGAGGCAAAATACAGAAGGCTATGATGCACAGTCACATGAAGGACATCCAGAGGAGAGAGCTATGGATCTAGATTGGGGCACAGGATCAAGGGAAGCCTGTGGGTGTCAGTGCCAACTGAACTGATCATTGAACGGGGGCTACAATTTGCAAAGAGAAGGCTGATGGGAGAGGGAGATGGGCCTTTCACAAAACCAAGAAATCAATGAGCATGTGTGGTGTATTAGTCTGTTCTCATGCTGCTAATAAAGACATAACCAAGACTGGGTAATTTATAAAGGAAAGAGGTTTAATGGACTCACAGTTCCACATGGCTGGGGAGGCCTCACAATCATAGGCAAAGGCAAAGGAGGAACAAAATCACATCTTACATGGTGGCAGGCAAGAGAGCTCATGCAGGGGAACTCCCCTTTATAAAACCATCAGATCTCATGAGACTCATTTACTATCACAACAGCACAGGAAAGACCCACCCCCATGATTCAATTACGTCCCACTGGGTCCCTCCCATGACATGTGGGAATTATGGGAGCTACAATTCAAGATGAGATTTGGGTGGGGACACAGTCAAACCATATCATGGGGTAACAGCAAAGTACTAGGGATGGATATTGGATAAAGCTGGAAAGGTCTCCTACAGTATATATCACGCAGGGCCTCACGCTTCAAATCAGTTTACACTTGATTTGTTAAGCACTGGAGCATCTTGGAAGAGGAAGGGTTTTTTTTTTTGTTTTTTTGTTTTTTTAATGGTGACGAAAACAACATAAAATTTTCGATCATGGGACAATTTTAATCAGAGATGAGTGAGATTGAAGCGAAGTGTCAAGCCAGGAGACTTACAGCTGTCTTGAGTGATGGGGTAAGGGTCTGACTGAGGTGATGGCAGAAGGGATGGAAAGGTGAGGACTCAGGAGAGACTTTATAAATGAGCATACTTCTAAAACCTGGTTTTCTCTTTGTCCATGTTTGGCAAATAGAAGGAAATGCTGACAAATGTCAGGAAAATACATCAGGAGAATTAATGTAATATAGGACACTGCTGGTTTAGTAGGCTACAAACTCTGGAGCTTTCTCAAGGGAGCTCTCTTGCTTCAGCCTTCACCTCTTGGATCTGGCTCAAGCAGGAGGTCAGCCAAGAGGCGTCCAGCTCTCAGGAGCAGGAGCCACGGCTTTCCACATCTATTATTCGTTTTGACGACGACACTCTCAGTGGCTGACACTGTCTGTGAGTTCATGGACTGAAGAAGACTTTGTAAGTCAGAGCACACATGGCATTTTTTATATAACACCCTTCTCTTAATTTCCAGTCCTTTATGGTGGATTTTTTTTAAGAGTGAGTTAAAAGGTTGTGTGCTGAGCAAAATGGGAAAAAAAGTGCAGATTGAAGGAAATCAATGCTGTGTCTTTTTTTTATATTTTAAAACCATGTTTTATGGAACATAGAAGCAAATCTTCAGTAATAACTATGTGATGATTTCTTTTTAATTATTTTAAGCTGTGTCTTAAATAGGAAAATTTTTAAAAGTTGTGAATACCAATAAAATGCAAGTGTCATTATAGTCTATGTGTGTGTAACCATATGTGCACAGAATTGTCTTTTCACAATAAAATAAGAATACTAGAAGGTACTTATTTTATTACAGATGAGGAAGCCAGGGCTTAGTTCTGTTAGGATACTTGTCCTGGGGCTTAGAGATGGCAGAACCAGTGCTACCAATACGCAGCGCTGGCTCTCAGACACCTAGGTTCCCAGAGCTACAAAAAATGGATGTTGACTGATGATGGGAATAAAGCACATGATGTGGCTTTCCTTTGTGATACAGACAGACCTTTGCTGGATTCTGCTGTCCTTTAACTGTACAGTCTATTACTTTGTTTTCAAAGTAAAATTTTTCTCACAAAAGGTGATAGATATGACTATGGCTACATCCATGTTGATTCACAGTTCAAGGGAACAAGAGATGGATTCACACGTGTCAGCCGCTGCGTACTGTTGGTGCTCACTTATGGGAACGCCATTCTGACCTAGGTCATATTATACATTTTAGGTTCAGAGAGTCCTTGAATAACTGGGAGCAGACTGGTAAACAGAGATTAACAAGCTTCTTTCCCAGTAAAGGTGATGTACTGGGTGGGATTATATTGAGTAAGTAACAGACATTAAGTGTTTGGAGCTAACCTGGCAAACTATTATAACACAGAATGGAAGACAGAAAAAAACAGGCAGTTGAAATAATTTTATAATTAAATCTGTTAATGCAATTAATACTGATCGACCATAGTGGGGGTCTGGGCAATGAGTGTCCACAAAGAGCAGCTGGGGGCTTACTCCGGAGGCTGAGGCAGGAGAATGGCGTGAACCTGGGAGGCGGAGCTTGTAGTGAGCCGAGATCGCACCACTGCACTCCAGCCTGGGCGACAGAGCAAGACTCCGTCTCAAAAAAAAAAAAAAAAAAAAAAAAAAAAAAAAAGCAGCTGGCGGCTGATGCATGAAGTGGATTTCCTTTATTTGGATTCTGTAAGTCAGGAATCACTATGATTAACCCTAAGGATAATAATAGCAACATCTGCTAAATTTCTGCCTTCCAGTGAGTACCTGGATGCAGGATGCTTTCCACACATCTCATGTAAAGCCAAGCTTTCCATTGTTTAATCAATTTTGAGAGTTTTGGGTTTGGATTGCTTTTGTCATTGACACTCAGGCCTCCAAATCAGTGTGTGGCTGGGATCTCCATGTTGGCCAGAGCCAGAGTCCCGCCACGAGCCCAGGGTGGGGTGTGTGCTAGGGTCTGTCCCCAGGCATGCTCAGGAAGGTAAGTTCTTGCTAGCCAGGTGGGCTGGCCATTCTAGGGGCTTGAGGTGGGGGTGGAAAGAAAGAAACATAAAAAGAAAGTTGGGTTATTTTCAGAATGTATTCATTTCTGACTTTGGAAAAGTGGTTAAAAAAAAAAAAAGAAAGCCTTTTAGGGAAGTTGTCCCAGGGAAGGGAGATGTCTTAAGAAACAGAGAGGAAGTGCTTCCTCCCGGTCGCCCCCTCACCCTCTCAGGACCAAGACCCCTCTTCTTTTGAGCTCCTGAGGACAGGTCCTGGGGAGACAGGAGATGGGTGTGGAGGGAGGAGGCAGGCAGTCCCTGAAGTCCGAGTGGGTCTCCGCTGTCACACCTATGTGCTGGATTGGAACAGCAGCCTAAGGGCTCCCCAAAATGATTTCTGGGCCATTTCAGAAATGTGTCCAAATCCCAATGGAATTAGAAATTTGGTCATTTCAACAACTTTTCTAAGGAAACAGTTCAAAGAATATTGCCTTGATTATCAGGAGGAACCAGAAAAATGTGACAGAAAAGAAATACTTGGAACTAAGATATGCTACAAAATATTTAATGCTAGTATTTGCACAACAGGCTTAACACCAGACTTGTTTTCTGGTTTACAAAAAAAAAAAAAAAAAAAAAAAAAAATTAATCGTTTCGTATTTCTCAGCACCTGCTAAGACTTGCTACCAAAGCTTTGGGTTTATCGAGTTTTTAAATTGTACAGGCAGTTATGTGCTGTAACACCTTGCTGTTCTGAGGTGTGCATTTCTTTTATCTCAAAATAGCACAAAGTTAGGGTTAAAAGTTAATTTCCTGGCCAGACTTTAGTCCCAGTATAGGAAACGTTCGATGATAATAGCTCTGTTCCATTCTGAGTGTACTCAAATGAGAATCCTCGGTAATAAAACCAGAAGCAGACACCAAAAACTTATTAATGGAATATAAAATTGGAATTTTTGGTTTACTTTTGACTTTTTGAATCAACTTCATTGAGGTATAATTTGTACCCCAAAAATGTACTTATTTTAAATGCCTAGTTTGATGAGTTTTGCCAAATACATGTATCTGTATCATAGCCATCTCAACTAAGATGTAGAACATTTAAATTGGAAGTTTGCACACATTTCCTTTTTGTTTCCTGATACTTGTGTGTGCGTGTGTGTGTGTGTGAAAACTCACTCCTGAAAATGAAAATACTTAAAAGAAACTTTCACCCTACCAAAAGGCTCTTGATAATAATTCTGAGATTTTTAGTATTACTGTCACTTGTATAAGAAAATGTGTAGACCAAGATAGCATTGTGCTTAAAATCCAATCAGACAATGATAATATGTAGAGGAGGTTTTGCCACAGTAAAGCTTGCTTTGTTTTTTTAAGATCCCTGCAGAGACAAAAGGGAGTGTTTTATGGACAACGAGGCAGCATGCTGCCCTCGAGTTCCAGGTTTTGGGGGGAATGAATCATTCCAGAATCCATACTTTTGCATAATCCAGTATGAACCCATGCCGATGTGGAAGTGCATCTGCAGTATCCAGTAAAATCCTCACTGCTTCCTCCTCTTTTGTTTCCTTCTATCTCCCATCCACAGCATTCTGAGGGGGAACACTTCAGTGGGCATTCTCAGAGGAACCACAAATTACCTTAAGGTTGTGAAAATGGTCCCCAAACAATTGCCGGGGCCCCGCCTGTTGACCTTGGAGCAGGCTGCCGGGGCTCCAGGACCCAGGGCTGTCTCTAGGATCTTGAGCAACACTGGCATTCACAGTGCATACTACTGTCTTGAAACTTCAAAACATTTCAGCAAACGTGAGTTATAATCTCTCAAAATCACTTTACCATCGTCATCTGGCCAGTCCTGTTTGGAAGACAAGGTAACTGATGGAATCACTTGAGGTACAGGCCAGGGGACTTTGGGGAAAGGTAAAGAAGGGAACTTGTTCTAAGGGAGGTGCTGGCAAAGGAGGCCAAAAGGTAAATGTGTGATTCAGGAGAAAGCATCCCATCAAGGATACCCCCTCACGGTGCATGGTGAGAGTGGCGGCTTCCAGTCCTGGCTTCCTGCCTTGATTCTGCAACTGTCCAAAGTTGAACTTGGGCAAGCCACAGCCCCCCATACTCCTACCATCAGTTTCTCCACCTGCAGCACAAGGGTTGAATCCATGAGCTCAGAGGGCCTCCAGCTCTAACCTCCTGGGAGACTGAGCCTGCCCCTGCCCAGGGCTCTAGCTTGACAGGCACTTTCATGTGCTTTCTATATTCCTAAGTTAAGGGTCCCCACAAATATAACCAGGTCCAATTTGGCGGCACATTCACATTGGCTGGTTTCACGTCTATCTTTTATAGGATACAATTCCTTAAACCTGCTCATCCAGTAAGTTGTCCACGCAAAGGCTGTCCCTGTATTTTAGAAAGAGGTGCATGAACATTCAGTCTTTACTCATTGTCTCTTTAAACAGTTAATACTCTAAAGCTACAATTATATGATGTCTCAGTGTCTGAGTCCACCTTGCCTTGCTCCTTAAGATCACAGCTTCCTAAATGATCTTCCATTTCCACTTTTGCCCTTCTGTCATCCATCCTCCACTCATCCATCCTCCACTCAGCAGCCAGAGTGTTCTTGTAAAAACATAAATCAGACCATGTCACTTCACTACTTAAAACCCTTCAGCGGCATCCAGCTGCTCTTGGAATAAAACGCAATATCCTATCATGATCTACATGGTCCCGAATGACCTGCCTACCACACACTTATCTGATTCCATCTCCTTTGGAGAAGATACGCACAAATTCTGGATATTATGCCTCTACATAGGGAAGAGGCCGTCTCTTCCCCTCTCCCCTTCTGAATGGCCGGGAAGTAGGTGTGATGGCAGGAGTGGAGAAGCCTTCTTGGACCATGAGGTAGGGGTCACATATTGAGAATGCCAGATTGTAGCACAGCAGAGTCTGGGTCCCAAAATATTGCAGAGCTATCTCATCAGTCCTGAACTGTCCACCCATGCTATTAAGTGACAGAAAAATAAATATCCATCTTGCTTAAACCCCTGTGAGTCTCGGTTTCTATTTTTTTTTTTTTTTTGTGAGACAGAGTCTCACTCTGTTGCCCAGGCTGGAGTGCAGAGGCGTGATCTCGGCTCACTGCAACCTCCGGCTCCTGGGTTCAAGTGATTCTCCTGCCATAGCCTCCTGAGTAGGTGGGATTGCAGGCACACACCACCACGCCCAGCTAATTTTTGTATTTTTAGTAGAGATGGGGTTTCACCATGTTGGTCAGGCTGGTCTTGAACTCCTGACCTCGTGATCTGCCCACCTCGGCCTCCCAAAGTACTGGGATTACAGGGATGAGCCACTGTGCCTGGCCTGGGTTTCTCTATTATAGCAGCCAACAGGGTACTAAACAATGCACCACACTTTCCTTAGGGCTCTGTCCTCGCTGTTCCCACTCCCTGGGATGCATTTCCCCAGCTCCTCTCATAGCTGCTTTGTTATACTTCCAGCCTCCTGCTTAAGTGCCGTGTCCTTGAGGAGGCCTTACCTGACCAACTTAACCAAGTTGGTCATATCTCTCCACTGAACTCTAGCAGTGGCCTCCCCACTAGCCTCCCTACCTCCACTCATGGTCTTCCCACCATCCATCATCCACAGAGGCCAAAACCTTGATACGTGATAAGTTGCCTTATCAGGCCTTACCTGACCAACTTATCACGTATTAAACTGTGATAATCTTGTTTGCCCATTTGTCATGCTTGTTTTGCCCACGAATAAGAAGCCCCCTGAAGGCAGCAGCCTGACCTCTCTCGCTCGCTTGTATCTCTCCAGCACCTGGAACAGTGCCTGGTGTGCACTGGAGGGCCCAGTAAGTATTTATGAAATGAATGAACAAGTGTAGGCACAATCAGCAGGATCCCCATTTCAAGTTCTTTTTTTGGTTCTTGGATCTGGGACAAAAGGGCTGGGGACACCTCACAGTTCAGAGGACTCTTCTGAGATGACTTAGCAAATCATCTGGAGAATACAGATCTCAATCCACAGCATTTGCTGCTCACAGAGGGATTTGAAAGAACAGCTTGTCTACCAAGGCCGATTTAATGAAACCACGAAATATATGACTGCAACAAGAACGCTTACAAGAAATAAACTCGATCTGTTGCCTGGTATCCCTCTAATAACTAATGATATAACTACGAAAGGTTGGTTCTGAACATAAAACAACCTCGGAAAGGAATTCAACTGAAGTGCACTTTGTGGTTACAAACACCTAGTGTCAGAGACAGTATTATCGACCCCATTGAAAATAATGACTTATTGCAAGTAACCACAAATCAGCTGACTAGTTGAATGGATATTACACATTGTTTACTACGCATGACCTCAAAAAATCATTAGATCCATACTAGGAGGATTAAGAGGACTTACTACTCATGAATCCCTTCTTTCTGCAAACCTCATATCCTCATGCAAGAATGAGAAGAGCTGTCATTTGGGAATTAGAGAACCAGCCTGGAGTCCTTGCCTGCCCTGTATTTGCGGCTGTAGACAGAAATTCCTTAATCCCTTTGAGTGTCAGTTTCAACCATAAATTGGGAATTTGAGCCTCTCTCTTCCACATTCCCCACACCGAATACATCCGCAGATAGTCTTAGCTGTGCCTCCCAAATACATCTTCAATCTGCCCATTTTTGTACCTTCAATTATGTTCTCATTAAAGCCACCATATCTCTCCACTAAACTCCAGCAGTGGCCTCCCTGCTAGCCTCCCTGCCTCCACTCATGGTCTCCCCACCATCCATCATCCACAGAGGCCAAAATGATACATCAAAGCCCTCCACTGACCTCCCATCAACTCATAATAAACTTCAAACCCCTTGCCCTTGGCCTGTGAGGCCCTCTCGCTAAATTGGCCACTGCCTCCTCTATGACCTCAGCTTCTACTTTTCTCCTCCCCATTCATTCTATTTATCAAGGTTTCCTTCTGTTCAGGTAAATGCCGGCCTTGTCTGACCTCAGGGTCTTTGGTCCTGCTATACCAAACTTGTTCAACCCATGGCCTGCAGGCTTTATGCGGTCCAGGATGGCTTTGTAAACAAAAATTTGTAAACTTTCTTAAAACATCATGAGATTTTGGCCTGGCGCGGTGGCTCACGCCTGTAATCCCAGCACTTTGGGAGGCTGAGACGGGCGGATCACGAGGTCAGGAGATCGAGACCATCCTGTCTAACGCAGTGAAACCCCATCTCTACTAAAAATACAAAAAATTAGCCGGGCATGGTGACGGGTGCCTGTAGTCCCAGCTACTCGGGAGACTGAGGCAGGAGAATGGCGTGAACCTGGGAGGCAAAGCTTGCAGTGAGCCGAGATAGCGCCACTGCACTCCAGCCCGGGCGACAGAGTGAGACTCTGTCTCAAAAAAAAAAAAGAGAGATTTTTTTTGCAATTTTTAAAGCTCATTAGCTACCGTTAGTGTTAGTGTGTTTTACGTGTGGCCCAAAACAATTCTTCTTCCAATGTGGCCCAGGAAAGCCGAAAGGTTGGACACTCCTATTATACCTTTAACTGGAACCCCCTGTCTTTAGATCTGGTTCCTTCAAATCCACTCTAGAGATCTCACTTCCTCCCTTGATCACTCTCTATCATACTACCATTTTTTTCATCGTATTTAACAATGACTTAAATTATTGATGTATTTGTTTGTTCTTGTTTGCTGTTTTATTTATTTATTTTTTTCTCACCAGCAAGTCAGCTCCATAAAAGCAGGGGCTTCGAATCTTTCTTCCCTGGCCTATCTATCCCCAGCACCCAGCACAATGCTGGATGAATTAAGATTAAAAATAATATCTATTTCCAGGGGCTGGTGTGAGGCTTGAATGTAAAAAATGCTTTGTGGAGGGGTCATACAATTGTTGGATTTTATCAATCATTTTATGTGTCTGTAATTAGAAAAGATTATATTGCTGTTTACTAATATAGGTCAGAAGAAATGAAAAGTCTCGCATCCGATTAGGTAGTGAATCTGCCCAAAATCTGTGTGATTGAAGCTGTTCATACATACTGAGATGAAATCACTCGCTGTCTTGTAAGCATCTATTATCTACTCTGCTTCAGGGGGTGTGGCTGGGGTATGAAAGACAGATGCCTGGTCTCTTTGCCTTGACGGTGCTTACAAACAAATGAATGACGTGTGCCTGAGCCGCTTTGGCCTTGGGATCTCTAGAGCATTCATCACCTATGATATTCTTCAAGAGCTGGCTGTGCCCACGCTGTCACCTCGTCCTCCGTGAGGGCCTGGCCTCTCTCATAGGGCGATGAGCTCCATAAACACAAACTATATTTTCCATATTTATGTTAAGTTGCCCAAGGTAGACTGGAAGGCACCCAGCAGGGATGTGGAATTAAACTGAATGATGGGTTATTGGGCAATATATATTTTTAAATATGTCCTTGCAAAAATATCCACTAATAATGCAGGAAACTATCTTACTTTGTATTGGAAGAAAATGTACGATTTGCTTATAATGTGGTCCCCTCCAACACAAAGATAAGGCTTTATGGATTTACTCTTGACTGCTTTCTAAAAGCACGTCCAGGTTGTCTGGAACCCATCACACCCTCTGATGGGGCCCACTCAGACCCAGTGGCTTGAATCAATGAGACGGATGGGTGGCCGGGAGCAGAGCTCTCTTTGTCTGATCCCTCTGACCAGAGAAACAGTGTTAGACTTCAAGAGCTTAGGGAAGAGGGGGAAGAACTACTAGCTGGAAAAACAAACAAACTTTCAGATAAAACTAGCCAAAGAGTCTTGCAAGAAAACGTAAGAGAGAGATTTCTGAAGTTCACCCAGACACAGACGCACTGAGTAAGGTAGAAAAAAAAAGAAAGTTGGGGATGAGTTTGAATTGACGAGAACTACAGGATGTTTGCAGCAAGCAGCTTAGAGCTGTAAAGATTTAATGCAACTCCAGCTGTAAAGATTTAATGCCTGGCTTGTTCCAGGGGGATTCTGGCTGGGTATCTTTGTATCCATCGCCCACCACCAACAAGCAGACATGTTTGTTTCCAGTGCTTTCTGCTTTCTCCTGCTTTTCTCTATGTTGGTCTCTGAGCTTCTCTCATTTCTCCCCCGATTCACTACATAGAATGGCTCTTATTTCTGATATGTGTTTTGTAATGTTTTCAGGACACTAAAATTATTTAACTCTATATTCACTGTAATACCCTAGATAATATAATTTTGGCTCTGAAAGGCCTAATTTATTATCTTGGTGTGACTTTGACAGCCAAACAATCAAATAACTGGTCACATGAGTAAAAAAAAGGTCAAAGAGATGTTGGTTTAGGTGACACCGATGGGGGGCATATATGGTAGGAATACCGTGTGTTTACTGTTCTGGGGTTTCATTCTTGTTGTATGGTCTTGGGTGCTTCCATCTGCTTTCCAAGTAACTCGGGTTAGCTTATTTGTAATTGTGCCCTCATCACTCATTTAATTATCCCTGAAAGCATTACTGGGCAGTTTATTACCATTCTGCCTTAGATAGTTGGTTTTTTGTTTTCTCTTTTTTTTTTTTTTGAGACGGAGTCTCACTCTGTCACCCAGGCTGAAGTGTAGTGGTGCAATCTCAGCTCACTGTAATCTCCACTTCCCGGGTTCAGGCGATTCTCCTGCCTCAGCCTCCCAAGTAGCTGGGATTACAGGCACCCACCACCATGCCTGGCTAATTTTTGTATTTTTAGTAGAGACGGGGTTTCACCATGTTGGCCAGGCTGGTCTCAAACTCCTGACCTCAGGTGATCCTCCAGCCTCGGCCTCCCAAAGTGCTGGGATTACAGGCGTGAGCCACTGCGCCTGGCCAGGTAGTTAATTTTCTCTCTTTGCTGTCTTTGGGAGGGAAACTGAGTGAAGCACTATTGGGTTTGCTGTTGTTTCTGTGAAACCCGAAACCTGTAAGTTAAAGGTAACCATCTAGTATTATTGCATCTTTCTAAGTATTAGGTTGGTGCAAAAGTAATTGTGGTTTTAACCATTAATTTTTTTTTTTTTTTTTTTTTTTTTAAAGATGGAGTTTCACTCTTGTTGCCCAGGCTGGAGTGCAATGGCTCGGTCTTGGCTAACTGCAACCTCCGCCTCCCAGGTTCAAGCAATTCTCCTGCCTCAGCCTCCCAGGTAGCTGGGATTATAGGTGCCTGCCACCACACCTGGCTAATTTTTGTATTTTTAGTAGAGATGGGGTTTCACCATGTTGGCCGGGCTGGTCTCGAACTCCTGACCTCAGGTGATCCGCCTGCCTTGGCCTCCCAAAGTGCTGGGATTAAAGGCATGAGCCACCGCACCCGGCCTAAGCATTACTTTCAATGGCAAAAATCGCAATCATTACTGCACCAACTTAATAGAAAATTGTTCCCTGGAAACAATACTTTTTTCCTAAAAAATGTACTTTTAATCACAAATGTGTTACGGGTAATCATAATTTTCTTATATTTCACATTTAAAAAAGAAACTAAATCTAATTTTCACGTATTCTGAAAATGTTAAAATGCTAAATAAGTGTAGAAAACAGAAAGCGGGAATATCTTATAAAAACATATCCAAGTTGCATTTTTAAATTGTTCTTCCCATTTTTTGAAGTAAGATGCGCTTGCCTGATACTCAGAGTTCAGGTTCTGCTCTGGACCTCAGGGACCCCAGGATCAGAGCACGACTGTAAAAGGATGAAGGGGTCTCCATCTATAAATTCACAACGCAGAGGGTGACACTGGCGCTCAGGGGGTGTGCCAAGTGCCAAGTCTATCAAACTCCAACCTGCAGAAAGGGCTGGTTGATAGGGAAAGGGGAACATTGAAGAGGGATGGGAGGGAATTACTTAATGGGCAAAAACAACAGAGATTCCAAAGCCCAGCAAATTTCAAAGCACTTTCATATAGGAGTTGCTAAGCCTGCTAAGTACTATTTACATCAAATGTCACACCAAGAAAAAAAAATCAGTCAGAACAAATAAAAATACGGAAGTTTAGAACAGATAAGAATGTTAGACTTGGAAAGACAAAGAACAAAGACAATTGAAGATCCAACCCAAAGCCAGGATCCCTCTTAAGAGCTGGCCTCTGCCCCACAGTTGTCCAGTTTCTCTTTAAATATCTAGTGACGGCCGGGCACGGTGGCTCACGCCTGTAATCCCAGCACTTTGGGAGGCCGAGATGGGCGAATCACGAGGTCAGGGGTTCGAGACCAGCCTGGCCAACATAGCGAAACCCCATCTCTTCTAAAATAGTAGAGTAAAATAGTAAAAATACAAAAAATGAGTCGGGCATGGTGGCGGGTGCCTGTAGTCCCAGCTACTCAGGAGGCTGAGGCAGGAGAATTGCTTGAACCTGGGAGGCAGAGGTTGCAGTGAGCTGAGATTGCGTCACTGTACTCCAGCCTGGGTGACAGAGCAAGGCTCTGTCTCAAAAAATAAACAAACAAACAAACAAACAAATAAAAATAGAATCTAGTGACAGCGCTCAGTATTCGTCCAGATGCTGTGGGTTATAGGCTTCTGGCCCTGGGCTCCCATCATTCTCCGTACCTTGAATGAAAGTCTGCCCCCCAGGACCCAGAGGTTCTAACTTAGCACTCAGCACACACATGCCCGTCTCCTCCATGTGAACCCCGCAGAGAGTTAAAGATGGGTCCCCACCTCCCTAAGTCCCCTCTCCTTCAGGCTAAACGTCCCAATTCCTGCTGCTGTTCTGAGTGACCCTCCACTGGCCACACTCGGGCTTGGTAATGTCCACCTCACCATGTGGCCCTCCTAACTGATAACATTCGAAGAATTTCCAGCCATGGCTCCACCACTCGGGGACTGTGTTGCAGCCCTAGAGTCGCCCAGCTCATGGCTAAATCGCGGCATGGACTGTGCTGCCCTCTTAGGTCTCCTTTATTTTGAATTTGTGTAATTGATTTTTTGAACCTAAATGCATGAGCTTATATTTAACCTTGATACTTTCATTTTATTGGTTTTGGCTTAGATTTATACGCACTTAAAAAATGATAACTTGCATTTAATTATAATTCTTCAATTATCAAAGTGCTTTCACATATGCTGCTGATGTACATTTTGATCCCCTTATTTACCATGCCAGCTCTGCCTCCTCACTTTCTATCATCTGCAAATTAGATTAGCAGGAATGACAACAATTGTCACTGATAGACATATTGAATGGACGGCAAGGAACAAAAGACCCAGCCCTGTGAAATGCCTCCCTAGATTCATACCACATTCCAAGCAAGGGGGCAGAGAGCAGGCAACTACAGGACTGCTTGTGTGAATAAGATCATTGCAGAGAATAAAATGTGCAAAGATGAAAAATAAAACAGCATGAGGGAATAGGAAATGATGGGGCAAGGTGCTTTTATAGAGGAGGTGATTGGAGAAGGACTCTGAGCAGGGACTGGAGTGAATGGGGGAGCACACAGTGTACCCCAGAGACCCGGACACACATGAATTCATCAATCGATTGACTTCCTGCAGTTCCAAAGATAATTTCAGGCAATCAATTTTTGACTCGGTTTTGCTCTCCATATTATCAACTAAGTCAGAATTTGCTTCTGAGCCACAAACACTGAACACCTAATACAATGCTTGACACTGAATAAACACCTAAATAAATATCTGTGGAGTAAGTGAAAAAATCTGCTAGGAGAGACTGAGTCAAAGGCTCTGCTAAAATCAAGAAATGCTGTGTGAAGACCATCTGACAAAGTTTCATAAGGTTTGCCCCGGACAACGCTCTCACCCAAGGCACTCCTAGGGGTATCATTAGATTGTGATCAATTGGCTGTAGCCCAGTCATGGGAGCCCTCAGGCTACATGCAGTTGCTGGCATATAAACTACAATTCCAGGCTGATCAGAGGCAACACTGAATTACGAATCTCTAACCTCAAGTGGTCCCCATTTCACCAGTTTCAGAACCTATATATAAAAGAGATATATGGTTCACATGGGATGGCTTGATTCCGGGGAACTCATGTTGGATTATGCAAATCACACGATTCTCCTCTAAATTCTCACATATCACCTATTTAGTAATCTAGTCCAGAATTTTGTCAATCATCCTTTTGCCAGTCTACGCTTTTCTTGGAAACTACTTTTTTAAATGAGTATTTTTGAAAGTTGACATTTTCTTGTCTCTGTTTTTCAGCACCTCTCCAGATTGACAAAGTCTCCTGACAATTACTGATCAGTCACATCTACAAATGTTTGTAGCATTCTGAGGTGTGACTTATCTACATCTTGGGAAATACATTTCTGCAATTAATTAATTACTGATTAATGGAGCAACTACAGAAAATATTCAAATCGAAGAAAGGAAGGTGGACAAGGGAAAGGATGGAAAGATGAGTATGACCCAGTCCTGTACTGAAGATGAACAGACTGGACGTCGAAACATAAATAAAATACATTGACAAATGCTGAGACGACCTAGTCTGAGAAGCACTGTACTGTGGGCTGGTATCAAGGCTTAGTGGGCACCGGGACGGGAGCCACTTTTGCCTGGGAAAATAAGGTCACTGAGCATTGGAGGACAAATAGAGTTTGTGATGTGTTGTGGGACATGTCACAGATGCCTCATGGCTATAAGATAAAAGTGCTCTGCTGGGGAGACTGGCTGAGGTAGTGGTTACGAAATTGGGAACAGAGAGTGGAGGGCCAAGCTAAACAGCGGGGACCTCAGACACTTCATTGGATAAACCCAGCGGTTAAGTCCCTACAGGTTCTCAAGCAGGGAGTGCTGTGGCCCACAATGGAACTTTCCCTTTGTGGAGTATTAATTGAAGATGAGAGTGTGTGGGGCTGGAGCCTGGAGGCTCTCTGCTTCTCACCTTTTCCAGATAAAGTTTTCTTCTGCACTTTGAAAACCCTTTCTTGTTGGAAGGCAACTTCCCATTGTAAAGAAACTCTGGCTGGTGTCCTCTAAGCACATTTACTTTGGAGAGGTGTAGGATTAGCATTTTCACTGAAATAGTTTTTGTTTCTAAAAGGGCTTACTTTAAGTGGTTAAAACCTCCTTTTTCCCTCAAGCCATTGCACAATATCGATCACAGTATTTGTTCATTTAGCAGATCTTTTCTTCCTGTGGCCACAATGAAGGTCAGTGTTGAGCTTTAATGCAGTCCCTGTCCAAATGATGATCAATTTCAAAGGAATAAGAAATAAAAATTGAGCTAGCAGTATTAAAAAATGAATTTTGACTATGATTATTCGTAAAAGCAGTGCAATCATGGGAGGCCTTGTGCATGTATGCACAGATATACCAAGATTTTAGAATGAAAAGTGGATGACAATGGAGGCTGTTCCCAAAACCCTCTGAAGTTTACACAGCCATGCCTTAACAAGAAGTACAGAAAGAACACTTACAGGATACATTAGAATGAGAAAATACTAAATATTAAGGCATTTTTTTTTAAAGTTGAGAAGTGTTGGCTTTCATGCTAGCCTCTCACTTTCAAATCAATACCTTGGACTATACAGAAATAAATTCGAGGCCAGTTTTCAGGAATACAGATTTTAAAATGATGAAAGTGGCAGAATGGTCATCATTTCTGACTCTTTATTGAGGACAAAAATTTCACATTTGTATTATCCTGTTGGAAGCCTGGTGGCGAGTCTGTTTTGAAGACATGATAAACCACCGCAGCAGAGAGTAGAAGGGCCACTGGGAAGGCCTCTCCATGGGAGACCCTTCTCAACACGTAAATAGCTCTGGGCTTGGTTGATTCTGACAAGAAGAAATTAAAGACATAAAACACTCTTCTCTTTCAGATGCGTTGGCTAAGCCTCTGCTCCATCAATTCCCTACTCTCCTCTCAGCTCCACAGGGCACAACACAAACCTCGGGAAGAGATTCCCTTTTCTGGGGGTCACTAGTCACTCTCCTTTGCCTTCTTTCCATGCATCTCACCTTCTCACTAAATTAGAGACTGGGTCAAATGTGGAGTATGGTTTCTGGGAAGTCATTGCTTATTGGCAGTGTATGAAGGTTTAACATAATTTCAATGCATTTTGCCTAAAGTGTTATAGACCCTTTCACTAGTGAGAGAACATCAAAGCCACGCTAATTTATTTAAAATTTGTCTTGAGCTCAGACATCCGGGAATGTGAAAGTTAGAACATTTCTATACTACTAAGGTAGTATAGAAAGACCATGAGCTTAGGGGTCAGACCAACCTGGCTTCTGCTCCCCACCTTAGAAGGTGAGTGACATTGGGCTAGTAACTTCACCTTTCTGAAGCCTCCGTTTTCTGATCTGTAAAATGGGGATAATGTTAGGTAACGCCTAAAAATTGATGGGGACAATATCAATACTTAATAGTTAATTATTATAGTTAATAGTAAGCAATAGACTTTTGAGTAATGGTTGCTATTATTGGTTCTATTACCAACTTTCAGCAGCCTTGGGATTTAAATAACAGCCAGCAACTACACAGAAAACAGTCTTTTAACACACTATTACGGATTAGAACTAGGTAGTATAGCTCAGCTACTGATTAAAAAAAAAATTAAAAAAAAAAGAAATCCTCTGAATCGATTAAATGCAGTGAACTTCCAAAGTGCACATTTCAAATGAATAAGTGTGGGCTGGCAAGAGGCACAGTACCATTACAGTAGAAGCGGAAAGAACGTGAGGAATGAGGCTTTCCCAAGTTAGACCTGTGGTAGTTCAGGTCTTGACGGGCCACCTTGGTGTTTCTTCACAATCAGCGCTAAGTGCATAGCATATGTGCATGGAATTCCTGGATCAGCAGTCGCTGTGGGTCAGAATCCAGATCTTGGCCTTGCAGACCCGTTCAGAAGAAACAAAGGCTGTCTAGACCTCCCGTTTGTGAAATAAACTTGACTTGCACTAGAAGAGCTCCAAGGGTCCTTGTAACATTACAAATAATTTCATAATTCTCTGTTTCTGGAAAAAGTAAAGACGGGCCTGGAGAGGCGGTAATTACACTTTCTGTTCTCTCTTAGTCTCTCTCATCCCATTAAACACAGCCTAGATCAGGTGGAGACGCCTCTCAATAAATACTATGAAAGAATCCACGCTTTCCTAATTGTTTGGCTTCTTAATCAAAAGAAGAGCTTCCTTTCAATTGTTAATGATGCAAATCAATAGGGTATGTGGAAGAAATGACACCTATTCAGAAAGCTGTGAACGTCTGAAGTGCTAATGGTGATGATTAGGTATTATGCAAAGAAAAAGCGAGAATCAATTCTATTCTCCACACACTGCCAGTGGGACTCAGTCCCTACGGGGAGAGGAGCAAGTCCAGAACTGTCTGCCAAATATGAGGGTGAAATATTAAAGCCACCTTCATGGATAACCAAACACTATGCTGAGTTTCAAAAGGGGAAAACCAAACAAGCAATTTGATGCTATTTTTACTCCTTAGGGACAAAGGCAAACTGAACAGGACCGACTTTAAATGTAACGTAATGATTCAAGGAACCTATATGCTTTATCTTCCCTCGGGATGTTAATTATTCTGTTTAAGGGCTAATTTGTTTTGCAGGAGTGTGAAAGCACGCTCCGTTTTGGTGATACTTTTCAGATACTTTTGGGGTGTGTCTACTTACAGAAAGCATTACCTACTAGTATTGTTACTGATTAGTATCTATAATGTTATAACAACTACTAATTTGTTCTAAATTAAAAAGGAAGTCCCCTTCTTTAAACAAGTCTCAAAAATTTTATAGCATGCCAGAATATTAAGATGCTCCTGAAAAGTGTGGGATTTAACTGTTAACATTTAACAGTTCACACCATGTAAATCTCAGCTTTGCCTACACACACACACACACACACACACACACACACACACTGCACGAAGGAGCACTCTCAGATTCTCCTCGTTTTCCTTTACTTGCTCCCCGTGCAGTGACCCTGTGGAGTAGACTTGGTAGTGCTTCGAATGCAAACCCAAACGCTGTGATTTACTCCCCAAAGAACCCCCGACCTTGCAGAGAGAAGATCAAGAATCGGAAATTTTTTGACCAAAAGCGCTGCTTGCAGAGGTGTTAAAATCCAGTTACAGTGCCCCGCTCATCACCCGGACGCTCTCTCCGCCGCCTCCCGCGCTCCCCGGGCTGGAGCAGCGCACCCTTGCAACACTTGCACCGGGAGGCAGCTCCATGTGGGAGCCAGCCCGCGCGCAATACTTGCCTCTTCCCGCCAGCCCCGGTTCAGGTGTGCCCCTCGCTTTGTGATGCAGGTGGCTTTCCCACTGGCCGGGTCAGACTTCAGAACCCCCGAGGACCGTCCTTTGTCGGCCGGCAGCCCGAGTCCCGGCGGGCAGCTTTGAGTCCACCGCTCTCGGGATCAAACCCCGCACCACTGAAAGGCAGGTGAGGGGAGGACGCAAAACCCGGGGTGGAGCGCTAGGCTGCGGCGGCGGATCTGACTGTACTGGGAGAGCCACACAAAAGTATCCAAGGAAAAGCCAATATCTGGACTGGAGTTTTAAAAAACGTAATTGTACTTGCATCCTCCCACCCGTGGGCAATACACACAGCACAAGAGTGGGTCTTTTTTTTTTTTTCGATGTTTGGGCTTTGAGCCTCCTGGTGTATCTGCGTTAAGCACCTTTGATACTGTTGACCTACAAGGAGGGCTCTGAGAGCCCGGACTGCGGGGAAGAAAGTTTTTTTACACTTCGTGTCTTACTTACACTACGCTTGTTGTGGATGGCATTAATAACGGGATTAGCATGGAAAGGGTTACTGTGCTTGATGCTATTGGCAGAGAGAGAGACACAGAGACTGGGTCAATAGGGATTATTTCTGAATGGAACATCTGATACTCTGGGATCTGGGAAAAAATATAATGTTTTCTGATTTTCCTGTCGGGGTTCTACTGCTGTGTGGCCTCCTTCACTCTCAGAGCACAGGTTACGTCCTGTGTAATACTCAGTTTCTGATGGTGGTTTTTTCTTCTTCCACCTCCCCTTTCTCTTCCCCTTCTCCTCCTTCTCCGTCTTCTTCTCTCACTCCCTCCTCTGCTCTTTTTTGAGAAGCCTTAAATCCCACACTTTTCAGGAGCATCTTAATATTCTGGCATGCTACAAAATCAAGTATTTTTCTTTTTATCTTTATGTTGCTTCTCAAAGAAAGGGAAGACAGTAGTGATAGGAAAGAGCAGAAAATGCTTATTGAGGTCCAGGCAGTAGCAGCTGAAGCCTTTAGCAAAATAAACCTTGCTCTGCCTCCTGGTTCATCAGCAGTAACTCACCCCCCCCTCACCCCCCCACGCCCCAATTACTGGGCAATATAAGAGATAGGAATTTGCAAAGGATAGTGGGTAAGAGGCTAGGTCGGGGTGGGGGGAGGGAAGAGTTTGTCCATGGGAGAGAAAATTAGGAAGCTGTAACTTGACTTTCGTAAAGCGCTCTGTTCTTCTGTCTTTTCCAAATGAAGGACAACAGGAAGAGCCTGCTTCATCTGGATTTTCTAATAGACACAGGTTCTGCAAAAAGGATCATGATGCACAGAATGACACACTTCAAATCAGATTATAGGTGTCAGAAACCAAAAAATTAAGTCACCATAGCCAGCCCTTACTCTAATAATTGTTTAAATACATGATCTTTCTAAATGCTCACATCAGCATATTGTATGTCTCCATTTATATAACATGACATTGTGGAAAAGGCAAACTGTCGGGACAGAAATCAGATAAGTGGCTCTCAGGGGCTGGAAGTACAGGATGAGGGGGACAACAAAGGATGTAAGGGAAATCTGGGGGTAATGGATTGCTTTGTGTGTTGATTATGGTGGTGGCTACCTGAATATATTTGTTTGTCAAAACTCATAACTCTACTTAATATAAAATAGTGGATTTTATCGTATGTAAATTTAAGAAACATTCTGTAGCCATAATAAAGATTAAACTAATCAAGTTTAAGGACATTTAAAAAGTCCCCCTGACCCATTGCTCTTTCATCTAAGAAGGTACAATAGGGAATGTGATTAAGAGCTTACTCACTGTGGAGACACCACAGACATAAGGCTTAGAATTTAACAGAGAAGTGTCCCGAAAGTCCAATGTACAGCATATACTCTGCATGGCGCAGGGCCAAGAGCTGGCTAGAAATACATAAAAACCCATTCCTTTTTCACTCTCCACAGTGGTGAGTAGAGATTTCTGTGCAAGAGGTTAGAAGTAGCTGGTAACAAAGCTCTAAAGTGGAGAGACTGGCAAGACGCAGATGAGAAGGGTTGGATCTTGGACAAAGTAGCAGAGGGAAATGCCTGCTGATTCTGAGAAGATCAAACAAAAAGAATGTGACTGAAAGCAGTGGTTCCCAAACCTCGTTTCACATCGAAATCACCTGATTCTCGCTAGATCCAGGGCTGTCAGGGAATCTGACGGTGAAGGAGCTTCCTGGGTGATTGTTTTCAGCTGCCTAGGGCCAGGGCTTGTCATAGGAGAGAAGGAAAGTCCTCCCGGCTCAGGGAGGAGGCTCCTTGTGGGCAGGCGGGTCAGGGCATCAGGATAAGAGGGAGCTGCTTGGATGTGCAGGGGGAGGGCTTTCTTGGGAGGCTGGAGCGATGCCTCTCACAGACTCAGGGAGCAGAGAGGGAGGGGGAGCAGCAGGGGCCTCCTCAGCTTTAGTGGGGTGTCTGCTGCACCGTTAGGGAGGAATGGGGGGAAATGTGAAGTGTCCCCCGTGTTGATATCACTAGCACCTTGCTCTGTGCCTGGGCATTGTGGCCAATCGATAAATATTTCGGGAATGAATGAATAAATGATTGCCACTCCATTAGGCACCTTCCTATATATGTTGCCTAATTTCACAATTACAGCTACCCCTGGGAGAGAGACTGTTATCCTTTGTAGACAGGGCATCTTCAATGCTCAGAGAAGTGAAGTAACCTACCCATCGTTTCACAGTTAGCAAATGCAATGGATATTTTAGCAAAGAATGAGCAGAGATAAGCCTGCCCTGGTAGGTTTCTTTCCACACTATTGGGATTCTGACAATGGACTTGAGTGTTTCATATTTGAAAACATATGAAAGATTGATCTCTTCATGAATGATTACATTTTAAGGTCAAAACCAGTAAGTTTCAAATGTTTCCTAAGGAATGTGTCTATTTTTGATATAAGTTCTATGGCATTAAATTATTTAATAATGGCTCTAGACTGGGGGACAGAGGGAAACTAGATCGCATTTTCTTGGCTCCGCCAGTTGTTAAAATGACTACTTGTTCTGGAATGTACCTTTTAGTTTTGGCTTTTTTTTTTTTCTTTTTCATCAACCAAACAGGAAGTGTAGGTTAGACAGGAGCCAGTCAGTACTCACAGGCTTCCCACTGGAAATCTCTTTTTAAAAGCAACCGAAACTTTTTTTTTTTAAAAGACCATCACCACTGCTACTGATTAGTAAAAGATGACTCTGAGAAGCATATCAACTGCTATATATTTTCAGCCTTCCTCCTTTTTTTAACTATTTGTATTTTTCCTTCCATATTTCTCTAGATGAAACTAGATAAAACTATATCATTTCATTATATCACTATTTGTATTAAATAAGGACTAGAATTAAGGTGCTATCTTGCATAAAATTATATTTATATGCTTAGCTATTAAATTCAAACCCCAAATCTATGAAATAAGATAGAACCAATCAAAGACAATTCTGACACTGGATTCAAATCCAGCATAAATGTTCTTCAAGTTTTTGTAGAATGAATGAATAAATGAATCTAGTTCTGTAATGAGAGGCAGTTACTTAAACCAAACAATGTAGTCATGGCTGGATATGTAGATATTGGGGCAGGAAGACAGACATAAATTCCTCTGGGCAAGAAGGGAAGGAGAATGAGGGAGGTGGGTGACCTTCCTCCTAAGCCTTTTAGTTTCAACAGCTTCATGAAAGATATGGGAATTTCAAGCCAGGAGAACTGAGCACTAATTTGTTAAAGTTGTGAAAAAAAACGTACAATATTTAAACCTGGAGAATACTATAGTTGAATATATCAAAAAGGCTAAGGCAATGTTAAGTAAATAAAAATCTAGAAAGTTTAGCAAATTGTCTCTAAATTCAAATGTGAGTCAGCAGACGGAGATGAAGGGCCAATGAAATGTATTAGGAGGCAGCTTTCTCCCGCATTTCTTTTAGGGGATGATTAGCTGGGGAGCAGGCTGAAGATGGATACCAGCCATCACATTTCAGTTCTTGCGGTTACTGATGTCTGCCTAATCTTCCTTCTCTTGACACGTAATTATAAGCTAGGTGTATATCTGATACAGCAGTTGGTCTCACTCCTGCCTAGTGTCTGGGAGTCTCTTGTCTCTGCTAGGTGTGCTATCACAGCTGCGTTAATCAGTTGATGTGGAGTAGCAGAGCCTGAGGAAGTCACCTCCCTGCTGGAGGTGTGGGCAGTGATTGGCAGCACTCAGCAACAGCAGGAGACTCCCATCATGAGAAAACCCCCATCACAGTCTGCTCAATCCCTGCAATCACTCCTAGAGGCTGTGTGTTCTTTTCAAAGGCATGGCAGGCCTGGATTTCATTGTCTTTTCCCTTTATGAGTTGAGGTATTAGAGAGGAGACCTGCTGTGGGATTAGAGTGGGTTGGCCTCTCTTTGCCTCTGACATCATCTTGAGCCACGGGAGCTCTTTCCTTCTTGGACTTTCCCATGGGGTTTGCTGAGTCTTGCTGCCGTGTTAATTATATTTTCCCTTGGTTGGCAGAATACAAATCAGCTTAGTCATGCTTCTATTTCCTCCAGACACAATACAGCTGAGAGGGAATTTGGCTAAGTGCAGACACAAAGACCAGGCGCCTGGCTCCAGGTGCCTCATCTTCCCCGTCTTTGAGTGGTTCCACCTCAAACACAGACTCAAGGACAAAGAGTCATTGGTAGGATCTGCAAACACTGCCCTCTAAAATTAGAGTCTTGATATCATGAAAGTAGGTTTCCCCTGGCTGTGTCTTTTCAGGAGGCCCCTTCTCTCCACTCTCCCAAAGTCTCCCCCAATGATTGCTGGAGTTCCCCCAGGCAGGCCTTTGCATGGGCAGCCCTCCCCTCTGGTACAAAGCACTTGCTAATCTCTCTCTTCTTGGGTATCATGGCAGTGGCAGTGCTTCTGGGGCCTGGCAAAGGTGTGCAGGCCCTGGTGCTCCATGCTGGGGCAGGGTGCTTTCTGCGGTCACAACTAAAGCAGCTAGTGCAGCCTGTGGTTCCTGCACAACCAGATGGGGCTATTTCTCATAGCTACAGAACTGTGGGTCCACCAGCATGCACTGGCTCTCTCTGACCTGGAAAAACCCCTTTTCCTAACTTTTCTAGTGTTTCTTACCAAGGTCCATGGTGCCAGCCACTGCTCCATTGTCTTGCCAAGTTATTGTGTAGCAAATTTAGATTTTTGCTTATAGCCTGCTTTTCCAAAGTCTTAATCACTACATGGTAGGCCACCCGATTGACTGTCACCAGGCTGCACCTAAAACCCATGCTGCCTTCAGCCCCGAGAGTGAACTGTGCTTCTCTTGCCTCTGTCCTCCCTTGAGTGAATTCCTTCCCAAGAGACCCTGGGATCCCTCATGAAAACAGCCTCCTCGAACCCAAAACCTTCCTAGCCCCAGACATGCCTGAATTCCAGGTCAGACACAACTCAGATCAAACTAGACTCTCTGATAAAAGAACGTAAGTCATGCTGCTGCCATTCATTAGGATGGGGATGTACAACATCTTCTGGAAGTCACTAGAACTGCTGTTGTGGGTCATTAGTCCCATTATGATGAAAATTACACAAACTCTAGCAATCACTTGTCACGCTAAGAATAACTGAAAACTCTTCAAGGATGGGAAGACTGATGTCATGGGGAAAGTTCTGGAGCAGAAATCAGGATGTCCTTAGCCACTAATCAGTGACAGGAGTTGTGCAAGTCAGATTATTTCTTGAGGCTCCAGTGTCCTCACTTGTAGAACATCCAACACTGGCATTCCTTGCTGTACCTCAAGGCCTGGGAAGTCGGATAAACATACATTTTTGCACAGCACAGAAAGAGCCTCTCCAGGAGTTGAGACCTGACTTCGTGGCATCTCTTCTGACTGCAGTGAATCTTTCTCTGTTAGGGTCAATATTTTTACAACTGTCTCTACATGAATCCCTTTCCCAGTAGTCTGGTGAACTCAGTGACATTGTTGAACTGAATTTCTGGGATTCAGGTGGACTCCACCAATGTAGCTGATACTGTGTGAGGTTTTCTATCATTTCTGGTAGCCTTTCGTAGTGATGGCATGAGGTTACCTCATGCCTTTCTATTCAAATTTCAGCAGTAGGAAAAGAACCAAAATGTTCCATAAAGTCCTCCCAGTCAATTAACTTCACCTAAAAAATGAGTGTTTTTTTTTTCCTTTCCTGAGATGGAATCTGATCTGTCACCCAGGATGGAGCACAGTCGCGCAATCTCGGCTCACCGCAACCTCTGCCTCCCAGGTTCAAGTGATTCTCCCACCTCAGCCTCCCGAGTAGCTGGGATTACAGGCGTGTGCCACCATGCCTGGCTAATTTTTGTATTTTTAGTAGAGACGGGGTTTTGCCATGTCGGCCAGGCTGGTCTCGAACTCCTGACCTCAGGTGATCCACCTACCTTGTCCTCCCAAAGTGTTGGGATTACGGGGGTGAGCCACCGTTTCCAGCCTGAAAAAATGAGTGTTTTGATGTTTTTGTATAAACATCCCTGTGATGGACATCTCTCTCCATACAGCTATGTTTGGAGGAGCAGGGCTGTTAAGAGTGGCAGGGGAGGAGTCCACTGAAATCTGAAAAAAAATCTTTGGGCAACATAGTGATAAAGGATATGTCATCATGTTTATTGTGGTAGTACTCACACTAGAAAGGATAATCTTACAAAGTTGCTCATAGGAGGTTCTGTGATCCTATTTTATACTTGGTTTAGGCTCTGTTTCTTTTTTTGCAGATTTATAGTAAAATGATTACATTGACAAGCTGTTCTACATCCACCCTCCCCGTTTCCAGCGTGGAGCCCTGAAGCATCGTTCAAAAAAGGACAAACAGCCTGAGAGGCAGATAAATGGATGGCCTGGTGTAATTTTAAATCACATGAATGATGTTGCTTCTCTCTCTTCCCCTGGAGAACCTCTTTCCATGTCTGACTGACGATAATGTGTGAAATTTTTCTTACTTAGCAGGGAGAATTAGTTTGTTTTAGTATCCAGAACACAGCACTGTATTTGGCTACTAGCTAAGTCCAATTTTTAATATATTACCATGCATAAACATGGTGGGAGTTCAGAAGGGCCACGCTCTGGGTCAAGATTTTTATAAAATAAGCTGAGGCTCAATTCATTTTTCTCAAAACGCTGGAGGCCCCTGCCCTTGCCAAGCCCAAGATCCTTTCTCTCTGAACTGCTCATTCACAGTCAATTCTCCCTCTAACTATGAGTAAAGCATCACATCATATCCTATTATCCTAAGAATAAAATAGGAAGGTGGAACACACAGAAACCAGAATTTCATGTCATAAGCAAATAAAGCATACATGGCTTTAATATACATCTATTCAATGCTCTACAATAGTTTCACAGTTTAAAAATAATTATAGGAATTATGATTTTTGCTCTGTTGTGCCAAATGTTTATAGGTTTTTTTTTTTTTTTTGTCCGCTCAGTTTGTCATGATTTTACCAGGTAAAATGTGATCTCTTTGTATATCTATTTTAAAACATAAAGGCCCTGGATTTGACAAAACGATGACAGCAATTTCTTTAGCTCCTCCAGCACCTCATGAACCACCATCCAATGCTTCCCTGGTCTGGGAGGAAAGAAGTGAGAGCAGAGGGTGGTGCTGCATCTGGAAATGTGATCAAAATGGTGAAAGGTGCTCGTGAGGCAGGCAGGCAGCTCCATTTTCTCCCTCCTGCCCTCTCACACAACTTACCGAACGTGATCATGTGCAGGGCAGTGTGTAGTAGTTGTTGGGGGAATTCGTAGCTACTGGGGGTTTTAGACAAAGAGGAGGCCATTCTATCCATCCACTCCATCTGTCCATTCCATCCATCCAATCCATCCGTCCGTTCCATCCATCCACTCCATCCATCCAATCCATCCGTCCACTCCATCCATCCACTCCATCCGTCCATTCCATCCATCCACTCCATCCATCCACTCCATCCGTCCATTCCATCCATCCACTCCATCCATCGACTCCATCCGTCCATTCCATCCATCCATTCCATCCATCCATTCCATCCATCCACTCCATCCGTCCATTCCATCCATCCACTCCATCCGTCCATCCATTCCATCCATCCATCCATCCATCAACTCCATCTGTCCATTCCATCCGTCCACTCCATCTATCCATCCATCCATCCATCCATTCCATACGTCCACTCCATCCATCCCATCCATCCATTCCATCCATCCACTCCATCCGTCCACTCCATCCACTCCATCCCTCCACTCCATCCATCCATTCCATCCGTCCATTCCATCCGTCCATTCCATGCGTCCACTCCATCCATCCACTCCATCCATCCACTCCATCCGTCCACTCCATCCATCCATCCATTCCATCCATCTGTTCCATCCATCCACTCCATCCATCCATTCCATCCATCCACTCCATCCGTCCATCCATTCCATCCATCCATTCCATCCGTCCATTCCATCTGTCCACTCCATCCATCCATCCACCCATCCCATCCATTGACTCCATCTGTCCATTCCATCCGTCCACTCCATCTATCCATCCATCCACTCCATCCATCCCATCCGTCCATTCCATCCATCCACTCCATCCATCTGTCCATTCCATCCATTCATTCCATGCGTTCATTCCATCCATCTACTCTATCCATCCACTCTATCCATCCACTCCATCCAATTCCATCCGTCCATTCCATCCATCCACTCCATCCGTCCATTCCATCCATCCATTCCATCCAGCCACTCCATCCGTCCATCCATTCCATCCATCCATTCTATCCGTCCATTCCATCTGTCCACTCCACTCCATCCATCCATCCATCCATTCCATCCATCAACTCCATCTGTCCATTCCATCCGTCCACTCCATCCATCCATCCATCCATCCATTCCCTCCATCCACTTCACCCACTCCATCCGTCCACTCCATCCACTCCATCTACTCCATCCATCCATCCATCCATTCCATCCGTCCACTCCGTCCGTCCACTCCATGTGTCCATTCCATCCGTCCACTTCATCCGTCCACTCCATCCATCCACTCCATCCATCCACTCTATCCATCCGTGCACTCCATCTATCCATTCCATCCATCCACTCCATCCATCCACTCCATCCATCCATCCACTCCATCCGTCCACTTCATCCATCCACTCCATCCCTCTGCTCCACCCGTCTGCTCCATCCGTCCACTCCATCCATCTGTCCACTCCATCCCTCCACTCTATCCGTCCACTCCATCTATCCATCCATTCCATCTGTCCACTCCATCCATCCATTCCATCTGTTCACTCTATCCATCTGCTCCATCTGTCTGCTCCATCCATCCACTCCATTGATCCATTACATCCATCCGTCCACTCCATCGATCCATTCCATCCATCCATTCCATCCATCCATTCCATCCATCCACTCCATCCACCCATTCCATCTGTCCACTCCATCCGTCCACTCCATCCATCCACTCCATCCATCCATTCTACCCATCCACTCCATCCATCCACTCCATCTATCCATCCATTCCATGTGTCCACTCCATCCCTCCATTCCATCCATACATTCCTTCCATGTCTTTCATCCATTTGTGTCTCAATCTGTATTTGCTGGATAGCTTTGTGGGGCAGGCATGCTGCTGGCTGGGGAGGGTGGGGGCCTCAGTCAATAAGCCCAACAGGCCAGACGGGGGTAAGGGCCTGCACTGGGGAAGTGATGGTGGCAGTGGGGAGCTCTGGGGCAGGCCCTGGCCCGGGGGGTGTGCATCAGGGAAAGCTTCGAGGGTGAAGAGATATCTCCTCACTTGAAGGATGAATCAGAGTTGGTCAGGCATAAGGCTGGATAAAGAACGTCCCTGTCATTAAAATCAACATACTCAAGGGTTCAGATCTGTGAGGGAGAATGATCCCAGCACTGACTGTCACTGTTGATATTTTTGACCCTTGGGACTATTGATCAGAAAAAACCTACCAGGAGCCTCTCCTCAAGACCTTCCCCTTCCAATCCTTTCCAGGTCCCCTTGGTTGCTAATAGCACAGCACTGGCCTCGTAACTCAAATCCTGGGGCCATCTTCAGCCTCTGTCCTGTGTTCCTATTATACTGTGACCCACAGCCCGCACATTTGTTCCTTCTGTTCCTGCACTGTTCTCAGGTCTTCCCCATCCTCCTAGTAGAAGACTGTCCCCAGCCCGCCACCATGCCTTGTCCACAGGGGGCTGTCCGTGACTGTCAGAGGAATGAACAAACAGTGAATGTGCCTGAGCCACCGGGGACTTCTTGATGGTCTGAACTTCATTCTAGGCATTTTCTTGAGCCTCTGATGCCTCTGGAGTGTTTCTTCCTCTCTTCTAATCTAGACCATATAAAAATGGAGTTTAACTTTTTAGCCGACTAGCAAATAACATAGCAATGGCCACTGGAAGCTTTCAGCAATTTTCAGAAACACCAGAGAATCCCCAAGGTCAGACAGAATCTGTGGTCCTGGGGAGCCTGCTGGGTGTCCTGGTCCAGGGGTCAGAGTCCGTTGCAGACAGGGAGGGGGCCAGCAGCCCCAGGCAGCAGCATGGAGAACACAGTGAGGGAGAAGTGGCTTGAACTGAATTCCCTGGGATGGTTTGGGCCTTTTTTTTTTTTTTTTTTTTTTTTCCAGACAGAGTCTTGCTCTGTCGCTTAGGCTGGAGTACAGTGGCACAATCTCGGCTCACTGCAAGCTCCGCCTCCCAGATTCAAGCAATTCTCCTGCCTCAACCTCCTGAGTAGCTGGGATTACAGGTGTGCGCCACCATGCCCGGCTAATTTTTGTATTTTTAGTAGAGATGGGGTTTCACCATTTCACCATGTTGGTCAGGCTGGTCTCAAACTCCTGAACTTGTGATCCACCCGCCTCGGCCTCCCACAGTGCTGGGATTACAGGTGTGAGCCACCGCGCCCAGCTTGTTTGGGTCTTTCTAGGGAGAATGACCCTGGGACAGGTGCCTGGAGCACTTGAATAAACTGTCTGTGACCCAGCCCTGATTTGAGGGTGGATGTGAGTTCTGTGAACCTCAATGCTGGTTCCATAACCCAGGTCTTGAGAAAACCCTCCCTACAAGTTCATGGCCCCAAGGCCTATTGAACACCAAGAGATGGAATCTACAGACAGACAACAGCTTGGCCATATGCGACAACAGCACGCTGACCCACAATCTGCAGCAGACATTCCAGGAAGCTGGCCCCAAATGATCAATTGATACCAGATTCCCTAATTTTGTCCCTGCTGCCAACTTTAGGCCAACCAGAGGGAGCCAAATATAATCCCCTCACCAATCACACAGGATGCCTCCTGTGTCAGGCAGCCCTCCTCCAGCTTTCCCGGGCCAACAAGCTCCAGCCCCGGCACACCCCAGCCTTCCCCTCTCTCCACCTGAAAGCTTTCCCACTCCCCGCTTGCCTCAGAGTCTCTGCCAGGCACAAGTGACGATGGCTGACTCTCTTGCTACAGCAAGCTCTGAATAAATAGCCTCTGCGTGTTCTCATCTGGGTGGTCTTTATTTCCACACTTGTGCCTTAGAGGTTTCCTCAGAGCTCCTGGAATAAGATGCTGATGGAAGTCAGGGTTCTGGGAGATATGCCATTCCTTCACAACTTTCCAAGGCCCTAACTACCTTTGTCAAAACAGAAACCAGTGTCCTCAGGTGGACATTTTACCTGTAAACTCTGGATCAAGGTCAGAAGATCCATGTGAGTGGATCCAGTGTGGAGATGATTAGGTCTCCATGAGAAAGGGGTGGGGGCGGTGCAGGGCAGTGGGGGGATCTGTGATCCAGAGACCAGATTCTCTAATTCTGCTGTAATCCTTGAGTTTCCAGGCAATAGAAACCCATAGATTTTCAAAAGTAATAAATACAAAATATTCTACCCAAGTTAGGAGCAATTTGCAAGACAGTGAGTGTCTATTATAATACGGTTCTAGGAGACACATAATCCCACTTTGTGGTTTGGGGTAGTGGTAACAACACCTGTGACTCAGGTGTCTGGAATTTGAAGTTGGGTAATATGTCTTTGTCACTATTTACATGAGGGTGTGATTTGACTGGCCATGGAACAGAGGAATAAGGAGGCAATTTACAACAGGGTTTTTACAAAACAAGGTGTGTTCAATAGCACTTGATAGTTGCATTCTCTAAGTACATGGTGGTAATAGTAACAAGTTCAGTGAGGATGTTGGAAAGGGAGCATGCCAAGAGGAGGCTGCTGGCAAACAGCAAAACTCAGGGAGAAGTCGTCCAGCACTTGAGCTGAATTTTGAAATGCTAAAATAATTGTCCTTGGAAATCAACAGGCAAAGGTACATCATGTCGGAGCTACACTTATCACAGGGTAGATGGTGGCACATAGACTCAGGCGTCCACCAGGGTCAGTCCCCTGCAGGCCAGTCTAGCTGCCCACGGGCCACTGCAGCAGCCCCTGGGAGCAGTGAGGCCACCCTTCTCTGTGGGTTCATTCTTTTCAGTGGTAGGTATTTCACTCCTTCGTGTAATCTGCTAGGTGGTTGGGATGCAGCAACGTCCACAAGAAACTGGATGCTGCCAGGATGAGAAAGCCACTGCGAGCCCGTTGCAAACCTGGCTCTTCCAGAGGGGAGCACGTGTATGAGCAGAAGGAAGCTGCCTTGTTTACCTGGGTGTGAACACCAAAACTGTGGCCCACATCTGCCTTAAATCAACACAGCCCTACAGAGGTTCTTCATTCCATTTGCTCTATTTTTTTTTTTTTTTTGAGACGGGGTCTCGCTCTGTCGCTCAGGCTGGAGAGCAGTGGCACGATCTCGGCTCACTGCAAGCTCCATCTCCCTGATTCACGCCATTCTCCTGCCTCAGCCTCCCGAGTAGCTGGGACTACAGGTGCCCACCACCATGCCCGGCTAATTTTTGTATTTTTAGTAGAGACGGGGTTTCACCGTGTTGGCCAAGATGGTCTCGATCTCCTGACCTCATGATCCGCCCGCCTTGGCCTCCGAAAGTGCTGGGATTACAGGCGTGAGCCACCATGCCCGGCCCATTTGCTCTATTTATTTTCTTTCCTGAAGAGCTGCTTCCCCGTTTCAAATCCTTTCAAGAAGAGACTAGATTAGGAATGCTGGTTAGTTTGGTCCAGAATCATGGGAGTGAGGAGTGAGATGGCAAGATGGAAGGGCAGATGGTAACGAAGAGAGACCCCAAAAGGATGAGTAGAATTACATATAGAAAGCAATGTCTGTTTTATTGCAGAGGACAGATCATGGAAACCATACACAATGAAAAAACATCAGGACCCATAACCGAGAGGCCAGACTCTAAGATCCAGCTTCCCTCTGGATGATGGAAAAGATCCCCAAAGATGGTCCTGAGCGCCAAGCTCTCCCAAAGCATCTCAAAGACAGGGTCAAAGTAATGGAATTAGTATAACATTTCTCATTGTTGGCTGTACATTACAATCACCCAGAGAACTTAATGAAAAAAAAAAACCTGTTTGCATAGGTCCATTGAAACAGGCTCTCTTGGGTGCACTTGGGTGTCTGCAGGTTTTTAAAAGCTCCCCACGTGGCAGTAATTTGCAGTAAGGGTTGAGAGTCTCCAGGTTGGAGAAAGACAACAGGTAAGTCCAAAAACAGAAGGAGGTACTGGAGGGTATTTCACCTGGGGCATGCTCAGTCAGTCAGTAGAAGTTTACTAGCAGACACATGGCATCATGGTAGAGCCGTCCATGAACCTCTCTCTTTCCCCTTCCACGCTGTGCTCCTTGGGCCTGGGGAAGGAAATAGCCTCCCTGAAGTTCTTGGCTGTGTGGAGGAGGGTAGATGCCTGAAAATAACTGGGGTGCTATGAGGTAGGAGAAAGAGGAGCTGGCTGCTGGGAAGGCACCCACCAGCTTCTGCTATGTGCTAGCAGATTGACTAATCATGAAGTTTCCCCAACTTGCTAGTTTAAAAAGTTCTATGTTTACATGATACTACCTAAAAATAAATCTATTGGTTTGGGGTCATGGCTGGGCTGGAGACGCAGACATATGGCAGATAGTGCCTTTGGCCATCTCCTGTGCAACTCTCTGAATTAGATGCTGAAATGGTTTTCTATTGGAACTGAGAGTAGCTTGCATGGACAAGATTCTCCTTTATTTACTTCTGGAGACATTCTCCTAGGAGGGAAGAACAGCACCAGATGGTCTTTGTTAGTTGTGACTCACGTTCTTAAGTTAGACAAACAAATGAAGTTAAAAACTAGGTGGGTTCTGGAATCTCAGATTAAATCTATGCTTTTCCATCTGAAGGTCACACAAGGATAGGTCTTTATCATCTACTCTTAGATGTTTTTCTTACACTGTTTTTCTTACAAAACTACTTTTATAAACAGGCACTGAGGCCATAAACGTGAAAAGATGCTTAAATTTGTATTTAAGGAGATTCTATATTACTGCTTTCAAGGCTTTAGAATCTTATACAATAGAAAAGACAAAAATCTGTCCATTTATTTTACAAGAATGGCCTTGCTTGAGATCTGGCTTGCCATTGGCTAGCATATAGAATTTGCTATGTATGTTAAAAAGCTGATTCTGTAAACCGAGGTAATTAATCAGTTTGACACAGATATTTTCAATGGTTTCAACACAACTCAAAAGTAAGCGTTGTGGATTTTTAACCTTCTGCTCTGCCTGATTAGAATGGGTATGGCTTCTCAACAGTCTTAAATATTCTGCTTATAAATCAGTTCATTCATTCAATACATGTCCTATGTGTCTGACACTGTTATGGGTGCTGGGTATCTAGCATAGTACAAAACAGACCCAAATCCCTACTCTTTTTTTTTTTTTGAGATGGAGTCTTACTCTGTCACCCAAGCTGGAGTGCAGTGGCACGATCTTGGCTCATTGCAACCACATCCCAGGTTCAAGTGATTCTCCTGCCTCAGCCTCCTGGGTAGCTGGGATTACAGGCACCCGCCACCATGCCCAGCTAATTTTTGTATTTTTAATAGAGATGGGGTTTTGCCATGTTGGCCAGGCTGGTCTCGAACTCCTGACCTCAAATGACCCAACCGCCTTGGCCTCCTAAAGTGTTGAGATTACAGGCATGAGCCGCTGCGCCCGACCTCAGATCCCTACTCTCTTGAAATTACATTCTGGTGGGAGGAGAAGGGCCACAAACAATTTGGTGAAATGCATAGAATGCTTTGAAAATGTGAGTTATGGAGAAGAATAAGTCAGGGAAGAGGGATAGGGCATCATGCAGTGGGATTTGCAATTAAAAACAGTGGTCAAGGAAGGCCAGGAGAAGGTGACAGTTGAGTAAAGCTGTATGATGACTTTCCAGGGGGTGCCCAGGCCCCTTTGCTCCTGCTCCTCTGCCACTTTGTGGGTTCTTGCCTATGTATGATGCCTGGGACACATCACCTTCATTTGGAAAATTAAATGGGGTTTCAGAGGCCAGGTGTGGTGGCTCATGTCTGTAATCCTAGCACTTTGGGGGGCCGAAGTGGGTGGATCACCTGAGGTCAGGAGTTCGAGACCAGCCTGGCCAACATGGCAAAACCCCGTCTTTACTAAAAATACAAAAAATTAGTGGAGTGTGGTGGTGTGCACCTATAATCCCAGCTACTCGGGAGGCTGAGGCAGGAGAATCACTTGAACCCAGGAGGTGGAGGTTGCAGTGAGCCGAGATTGTACCACTGCACTCCAGCCTGGGCAAGAGTGAAACTCCGTCTCAAAAAAAAAAAAAAAAAAAAAATGGGGCTTCAGAGACAAGTCTCACTCAGTTTGAGAAACAGGCAGGCCGGAAAGGTTGACCCACAGACAGCAGAGAGGGGAGTGCCTCTTCACGCCTCCTCCCTCTTCACAGTTCCAGTGGTTTATTTTACTGTCCTCTAATTTCTGACCCACAAATGTTAGTGTTTTCAAGAGTTCACATTTATATAGCAGACACAGATGGTGACTATTAGATTTTAGTAAAGTGGATTGAAAACTATTCACATACAATTGAGGAAGAAGCAAGCTGTCCAACGGAGTTAGATGTAATGGGATGATTCATCTATGGACAAAGAAGAGGAACTCAAGAAAAGGGCCCAAATGTCAGGAATTCAATTCAATTTCTCTAACATTAACCAGACACTCTATACGGGTTCAGCAAAGTGAAAAGTAGGCATGGTGGGAAAATGAGGCAAACAATTAAAAAAAAAAAGTGTACTACCTCTTAGAATCATGCACAAAATACGTTTGTTAAAAAGTAATGTAAGAAATCCTAAAACTTTAAGTATAAAAAAAAAAGAATAAACCTAAATCACAATCTGAAAAAAAAAAAAAAAAAAAAAAAAAAAAGAAATCCATAATTGGGAAGCCATATGGCACAGAAGAAGGACCATGGATTTTTAAGCCAGTCGGTTCTGGGTCTGAACCACTATTATGACTGTCACTTGCTAGCTATGTGAACTTGGACTAGTTATTTAACCTTTATGAACCTCGGTTTCTTCTCACGTAAAATGGGGGTGATAGGACAGGATTGTCTGGATAAGAGGTAACATAGGTAAAGCATCTAACAACAGCACCAGGTATTATGGTGATTATAACAATAGTGATGTATTTATTATTCTTAGTCAAATGAATGCCACTAAGAATTTGATTTATAAGACTCAGAGATGGCAGAGATCTGAATGATTTGGCACATTTTTGGGGCGATTTCAGGAAGAGGACAAATTTCAACCTGGGCTTTGAAGGATGGATAGATTTTAGAAAAAGAGAATGATGAGGGGAAGTGGGGAAAGGTAGTCCCTGAATGAAACTTAGAAGTGAGGAAAAAATTTGAAAAAAAAAAAAAACCCCAAAAAACAACAAAACAAAACAAAACAAAACTACTTATTTAGGCAAGAGCTTGGAGAACGGCTTGAATGGAGGTCTTTGAAGTAGGAAAGGAGAAATAAGGTTGGATAAACTGATATATAACCAGATTGTGGATAGCTCAAAAGAATGTTAGATGTAAACATATTGCAGCAAAAAATTAACTCCTTGATCACAGACAAAACTATTAACTTTTTGATCCTAGACGTGCCCAAGTACAACTTTAAGAGAGGGCTATTTCTTTAGCATCCAGTTTTAGTTATATTAAAATCCACTTACAAAAGTTATCCTAGAGAGGTTAGATATAAGCATATACATGTTTACATCTAGAAGTATATTTCTATTTTATAACAAAAATTTGGTAGCTTATGGCTGCCATGCTCTAGCGGGAATATTTCTTATTACACTTGTTTCTCGAGTTTCCCTCAGAGTGTACGAGAGTGTGAAATGCCTAGCGTGGCAGAGGGAGTAGACCAATGTAGGTTGGCATATGGTTACAAGGCTTAGGCTTTCTTTCTTGATGGTTCCTCCCAAATTTTAAGAATTTACAGTTCTTGGCTGGGTGCGGTGGCTCACGCCTATAATACTAGCACTTTGGGAGGCCAAGGTGGGCGGATCCCCTGAGGTTAGGAGTTCGAGAGCAGCCTGGCCGACATGGTGAAACCTCCATTTCTACTAAAAATACAAAAAATTAGCCAGACGCAGTGGTGTGCGCCTGTAATCCCAGCTAGTTGGGGTGGGGGAGGGGGACGGGTGCTGAGGCATGAGAATCTCTTGAACCTGGGAGGTGGAGGTTGCAGTGAGCTGAGATCACGCCATTGCACTCCACACTCTAGCCTGGGTGACAGAGCGAGAATCCGTCTCAGAAAAAAAAAAAAAAAGAAGAATTTATAGTTCTAAGAACCTCAGCTAGAATTCTTTTGCAGTTCATATGTGATTACATATTTTTTCTTTCCTCTGTCTCTTTCCTCTCTTCTTTTACTCCAGAGTAATGTGCCTAGAAGGAGACAGTGCATCGAAGCAAGTTTACTCTCAGCATGTCAAGAAAACATTAAAATATTATTTGCCTGATGATTGCATTGGACACATTTTGTGAAATACATGAATCCCTCCTACCTGGGATGTCAAGAGACTGCTCTTTTGCTGGGAGAATGGACTGATCTTTTGCATCAGCTCAACGCTGCTTTTGGGGAGCCATTTTGGATACAATATATGTATTGCTTCCTTTAAATGGGAAATAACCATGGTCTGTCAACAAATAATCTTGTTTGATAAATCTGACCCAGATGGTGTGCTAGGTTGCAAAACCGTCTTCTTCTGCTTTGGAAAAACTCAGCTCTGTCCCTCCATCCCTCCCTCTGCCACCAGCCTCTGTCCACCCCCAAGCCCAGCTCCCTGATGGCAACAGTATAACCACTGAGGCTGAATCAGAGCCAAACCCTTTCCCTGCTGCTTTGAAGGTTTTTTTGTGCTGGATTTAGAATCCTACACTCAACACATTGGTTGGAATTCCTGATTTCCTTCTGCAAAGTCTCCTGCCTTCCTCACTGTACTCCACTGTTTGAAAAAAAAATTCAACATCTCTCCACTGCCTACCAAATAAAAGTCTAAATTCCTTAACCTGGTTCTTCGTGGCTTCACGGTCTAACCCCACTACTCTCCTTCACGTGTACCATCTATAGCCACACTTGCTACTTGGGGCTATTTCTAGTATTTGCATATGTTTCCTGGGTCTCTCTGGCCAGGCGCTCCTCTCATTATTAGAAGAAACCTCTCTTTACTCTGAAAGCGTATGTATCACATGAACTGCCAATTTACCAGTCTCTCCACTCATTGACGAATAGCCTACATTGACAAGTAGTATCTTGGATCATTAAGTCTTCAGGAATAGTTTATAATGCAATCAAAAGCATTTTAAGGAGGTTAAAACTATTCCTTCTTACTTTCCACTGGGTATTCAATTAATTTTTTTCATCTTTCTTAGTTTAGATTGTCAGTGTTTTAATGACAGTCAGCATGTCTGTTTCACCTTTGTTGTCACCACAGGGTCTAGCACAGGTGGGGTGGAATAGTGGGAACCTAAAAATTCTTTGTTGGCTGGGTGTGGTGGCTCACGCCTGTAATCCCAGCACTTTGGAAGGCGGAGGCGGGCGGATCACCTGAGGTCAGGAGTTTGAGACCAGCCTGGCCAACATGATGAAACCCCATCTCTACTAAAAATACAAAAATTAGCCGGGTATGGTGGTGCATGCTTGTAATCCCAGCTACTTGGGTGGCTGAGGCATGAGAATCACTTGAACCCAGGAGGCGGAGGGTGCCATGAGTGGAGATTGAGCCACTGCACTCCAACCTGGGTGACCTATGGAGACCCCATCTCAAAAAAAAAAAAAAAAAAAAAAAAAGAAAAAAAAATTCTTTGTTAGGTCTCAGCTCTCCACCCTGGATCTACCACTAACTGCCACTGCCCATAGTCCAGTGCCAAAGAGAAGAAAAAAACAGGCAAACAAAAAATTCTACAGAGAATGAGACTGACATATTCTGCAAGATCTGACTATAGCCTCCTAAACCCTAGTGATTGGTGACACGGCCCAGGCAGGAAACTGTACATCAGCCCTGGGAGGGTAGCACAGCCATCAGCAACTCGAATGCAGCCATATTGGCCTAGAAAGCTTTGGGGCAGAAGTTGGGGAATTAAGGCAATGTGGTTCCCTTCTCCATATGAAAAGGAAATGCGCTCATTAAAATACATAATCACAAGAATGCAGTTCTACCTAGCAGAGTGGTCTGCAATCTTTTTGGCACCAGGGACCAGTCTTGCAGAAGACAGCTTTTCCGTGGACTAGGGGAGTAGGGGATGGTTTTGGGATGATTCAAGCACATTGCATTTATTATGCACTTTATTTCTATTATTATTATTACATTGTAATATATAATGAAATAACTATACAACTTACTATAATGCAGAATCAAGGGGAGCCCTGAGCTTGTTATCCTGCAACTAGATGGTCCCATCTCAGGGGTGATGGGAGATACTGACAGATCATCAAGCATTAGATTCTCATAAGGAGTGTGCAACCTAGATCCCTCGCATGCACAGTACACAATCGGGTTTGTGCTCCTATGAGAATCTAGTGTTGCTGCCGAGCTGACAGAAGGTGGAGCTCAGGTGGTAATGCGAGCCATGGGGAGCAGTTGTAAACACATATGAAGCTTCAATTGCGTGTCTGCCATTCACCTCCTGCTGTGTGGCCTGGTTCCTAACAGGCCACGGTAGGTGTCCATGGCCCTAGGTTGGTGACCCCTGACCTAGCAGACTGATTGTATTCACAAGGTTTTTAAGATGATGAAATAAACCTTGGAGTAGTGAAAAAACAAAGAGTTTTGATATCTTAATAATTTTTATATTGAAAAATTATAAAAATTTCCCTCAAATTCACTTTTATGATAAAGATATAGGATCACAATATGATGATCTTTTCTATGAGATGTTAGTCACAATCTATTTTGCCAGAATAAAATATACAAGAGTCTTCATGAAATATAAAGGGAAAAGTACTTAATTACAGAGTGTATTTTCCAGGCATCATTACTGTCTAGCATATTATTAAACACAAAGTTGACTCAATCGATATGCTTTCTTATCTATGTTAATAGCTGATTTATCAGTCACTCCACTCATGGACAAATGGCCTACATTGACAAAGAGTATCTTAGGTCATAAATTCTTCAGGAATAGCTTGTAATGCAATCAAAAGCAGTGCTTCATGGGGAAGTTGTTAAACTTTCAGGAGAAGAGGTTGTAATTCCTTTCCCAATGTTTTGATTACTGATAACTTTGAAAATGTAGGCCAGAATTGGTAAGCTGAGTTAATAGGAGAGCAGGTTTATTCCTTTGATCTGTTCTTTTCTGACCATCATTCCATTGCAGAGAAAGAGAGCGGTGTTCCTCTTTTCTCTCTGCCCTCTCATAATAAATCCCCTTGTCACATGGAGATTGAAACTCAAGAGCCGGTTGGTTGTAGAATCTTGATGAGTTTGTAGCTCCTAATGGAGGGAAATATGTAATTATCCATTCGGACCACGAAACTCATTTGCAAAGGTTAACAGTGTTCCTACAATTTACATGCCATGCCACCTGCTTTGTTAAAAGCATGCCTAATTTGAATGCTTTTGGGTAGGTGGGACTATCCAGGTTCCAAGCTGTCCAAACACCTAGTGAGAAACACCAAAACCAGTTTAGGAAGTTTTTGGCCCTTTGGGATTCACTGAACAATCAATCTGACTCATACCTTGCTTGCTTTTTGTTTTCTCAGATGCCCCCAGATAGTAGCTCTTCCCTTCCTCTTGTTTACTGCCTATTTATTAGGCAAAAAAATCACACACGCTTCACAGATGTGTTATGCTCATTAACACCCATCATATGCACATTGAAGGGTGTGAACATTCGCATTGCTAATGAAATGAGAATGGCGAGAGGCAGGGCAAGCCAAGCAGGCGACAGCCGGGTGACTTCTCTGCAGGGGGCGGTTTGATGGATGTGGATTGTGAGCCAACTAGCTCAGGTATCTTTCACAGTAACTGATGGGCCTGCAAGAAACTCTCCTGATTCTAAGATCTAGGCTCTATCAGAGGCAGATCCTCAAGAGTAGTAGGCATCCCAGCCAACCTCCCAAGAAAAGCATTCCAAAAGGAGAAGGGTCTGAATGAGACTTTGATGAAAGGGCCATCTCTCCGGGATAAAGAAGCATGCTTGCCACCACCTTGGAGGAAGATGGATTTAGAAATGAGCTCAGGGCAGGGCCGGGCACGGAGGCTCACGCCTGTAATCCCAGCACTTTGGGAGGCCGAGTTAGGCGGATCACGAGGTCAGGAGATTGAGACCATGGTGAATCCCCGTCTCTACTAAAAATACAAAAAATTAGCCGGGCGTGGTGCCTGTAGTTCCAGCTACTCAGGAGGCTGAGGCAGGACAATGGCATGAACCCGGGAGGCGGAGCTTGCAGTGAGCCGAGATCGCACCACTGCACTTCAGCCTGGGCGAAAGAGCAAGACTCCGTCTAAAAAAAAAAAAGAAATGAGCTCAGGGCAACCAAGACCTTATCTACTGTTACAGCAAACTTGTGCTGTGAACTCTAGGAGGTGTGAATCCCACGTGGGCTCTAACATTGCTTTGATACTAAGATCAGTAACAGGACTGCAGTTTACTTTAATAAGACTGGTCCTTTTTTAATTAAAAATATTTTTTTGGAGACTGGAGTCTTGCTGTCCTGCCCAGGCTGATCTTGAACTCCTGGCCTCAAGTAGCCCTCCCATCTCAGCCTTCCAAAGCATTAGGATTACAGGCATGAGCCTCAGCACTTGGCCTGATTCTTGATTTCTAGTATGCTTCCTCAAAAGAATAATACCATGAATTTTTTTTTTTTGAGATGGAGTTTCATTCTTGTTGCCCAGGCTGAAGTGCAATGGCATGATCTCAGCCCATTGCAAACTCTGCCTCCTGGGTTCAAGTAATTCTCCTGCCTCAGTCTCCCGAGTAGCTGGGATTACTGGCATGTGCCACCACGCCTGGCTAATTCTGTATTTTTTGTAGAGACAGAGTTTCACCATGTTGGTCAGGATGGTCTCAAACTCCTGACCTCAGGTGATCTGCCCACCTCGGCCTCCCAAAGTGCTGGGATTACAGGCGAGAGCCACTGTGCCTGGCTGGCATCATACTTTTTAAATTGCTGCTTCTTTACTGTCAGGCAGGGGGATGGCATCTATCATTATGCAAATACATTTGGGACCTATGGAGTTTTTAATGACCCCGTGGGGCTTCAGAAAAAATACAGATTGCCAAATGAGGCTGAACTATTCCAGATAAATGGATTGGGAATGGCAGCTCCACATTGTTTATTTGTTTATTTGCTGTCTTAAAGTGAATTGTCTTTTCTCGCTGAGTCTTTAATAATATATACACTGGTGCCTCCAGAGAGAGCTATTTGGGATCTTTGGTTCCCTGCAAAATGAGATCGCAATAGGATTTTTGACTTCTCACATCTTTCTATTTATCTGCCCTCTTGCCAATATGCATCTAGCTGCCTGTTCTTACTGTGATTGATATTTTTACTTCTATTCCTTCTAGAACATTCTACTAATTTGTGTTGGATCTTGCAAGGGCTAGGAAACCAGTTAATGATTTCTATTAGAACTTTGCATAAAATAGGTGTAAATAAGGCCTGTGCGGGTATTATTTGTGCCTACCTAGTTTTCTCCCTCTGAGATCCTCACATCCCCATTAGGCACCACGTAAATATATAATTCCTTCCTAGAGTCTGGTGCCAATTATGACTGTGGGCAGTAGGGATTTACCTTGCTGATGGTCATGCTCTGAATCTGACACAGTCTTCCTGCAGTCTTGGCAGCCAGCTTCCCATTTCTTTTTTTTTTAATATATTTTTATTATACTTTAAGTTCTAAGGTACATGTGCACAACGTGCAGGTTTGTTACATATGTATACATGTGCTATGTTGGTGTGCTGCACCCATTAACTTGTCATTTACATTAGGTATATCTCCTAATGCTATTCCTCCCCCCATGAAGCCAGCTTCCCATTTTTAATCCCAGTTGCTCTATGTAGATTGTTAACCTCTCCCTTATTCTGAAAACCCCTGGGTGTTCAGGACTGGGTTCCTGCCATGTTCTTGCCATCTATTTTTTTTCCCTCTATCTTTTTTTCCTTCCCTAACAATGAATATTCTCTTTGACTTAAGAAGGATGCTCAGGAGAGAGCAATCAGTACTAAGTCCGGCAAAAAGTAGGATCTCAGCATGTGTTTGTTAAATGAAAGCATAAATAATATATATGAATATACTCCAGCCTAGACATTACTCTCAGAAGCTGTACATTGTTGAAAGAACACATTTTGTCTTAACCATAGGTGTTTATATAAAAAAGTCTGTAGGGAATTTGGTCAAGTGGTAGGCAAAGCAGGACTTATAAAACCCAAGCACATTTATGAAAACCAAAATTTCCAAGAATGTGGCTTTATCAAGGCATTCTCATTAGGCTAGAAAGGTAACTGATAGGTTTAAAATATCAACAAAGATATAATCCATAAATGTTTCTGATTATTTATTCCTGCTACTATTCTGTCTATAACCAGAGCAATTAACAACATTTTTGTCAGGCCTCTGAGCCCAAGCTAAGCCATCATTTCCTGTGACCTGCATGTACACATCCAGATGGCCGGTTCCTGCCTTAACTCATGACATTCCACTACAAAAGAAGTGAAAATGGCCTGTTCCTGCCTTAACTGATGACATTATCTTGTGAAATTCCTTCTCCTGGCTCATCCTGGCTCAAAAGCTCCCCTACTGAGCACCCTGTGACCCCCACTCCTGCCCGCCAGAGAACAACCCCCCTTTGACTGTAATTTTCCTTTACCTACCCAAATCTTATAAAACGGCCTCACCCCTATCTCCCTTTGCTGACTCTCTTTTTGGACTCAGCCTGCCTGCACCCAGGTGAAATAAACAGCCTTGTTGCTCACACAAAGCCTGTTTGGTGGTCTCTTCACATGGACGCAAGTGAAATTTGGTGCTGTGACTCGAATCAGGGGATCTTCCTTAGGAGATCAATCCCCTGTCCTCCTGCTCTTTGGTCTGTGAGAAAGATCCACCTACGACCTCTGGTCCTCAGACCAACCAGCCCAAGGAACATCTCACCAATTTTAAATCCAGTAAGCGGCCTCTTTTTACTCTCTTCTCCAACCTCTCTCACTATCCCTCAACCTCTTTCTCCTTTCAATCTTGGTGCCACACTTCAATCTCTCCCTTCTCTTAATTTCAGTTCCTTTCCTTTTCTGGTAGAGACGAAGGAGACACGTTTTATCTGTGGACCCAAAACTCCGGCACCGGTCACGGACTGGGGAAGACAGTCTTCCCTTGGTGTTTAATCACATGGGGACGCCTGCCTGATTATTCACCCACATTTCAGAGGCATCTGACCACACGGGGACGCCTGCCTTGGTCCTTCACCCTTAGTGGCAAGTACCGCTTTTCTGGAGGGCAAGAACCCCCTAACCCCTTCTCTCCATGTCTCTACCCCTTCTCTGCTTTTCTGGGGGGCAAGAACCCCCCAACTCCTTCTCCTTCACCCTCAGCGGCAAGTACCGCTTTTCTAGGGGGCAAGAACCCCCCGACCCCTTCTCTCCATGTCTCTACTTGCTCTTTTCTCTGGGCTTGCCTCCTTCACTATGGGCAAGCTTCCACCCTCCATTCCCCCTTCTTCTCCCTTAGCCTGTGTTCTTAAAAACCTAAAACCTCTTCAACTCACACCTGACCTAAAACCTAAATGCCTTATTTTCTTCTGCAATGCCGCTTGACCCCAGTACAAACTTGACAGTGGTTCCAAATAGCCAGAAAATGGCACTTTCAATTTTTCCATCCTACAAGATCTAAATAATTCTTGTCATAAAATAGGCAAATGGTCTGAGGTGCCTGACATCCAGGCACTCTTTTACACATCGGTCCCTCCCTAGTCTCTGTTCCCAATGCAACTTGTCCCAAATCTTCCTTCTTTCCCTCCCACCTGTCCCCTTAGTCCCAACCCCAAGTGTCGCTGAGTCTTTCTAATCTTCCTTTTCTACAGACCCATCTGACCTCTCCCCTCCTTGCCAGGTCGAGCTAGGTTCCAATTCTTCCTCAGCCTCCACTCCTCCACCCTACAATCCTTTTATCATCTCCCCTCCTCACACCCAGTCCGGCTTACAGTTTCGTTCAGTGACAAGCTCTCCCCAACCTGCCCAGCAATTTCCTCTTAAAAAGGTGGCTGGAGCTAAAGGCATAGTCAAGGTTAATGCTCCTTTTCCTTATCCCAAATCAGATAGCATTTAGGCTCTTTTTCATCAAATATAAAAACCCAGTCCAGTTCATGGCTTGTTTGGCAGCAACCCTGAGACGCTTTATAGCCCTAGACCCTAAAAGGTCAAAAGGCCGTCTTATTCTCAATATACATTTTATTACCCAATCTGCTCCCGACATTAAATAAACTCCAAAAATTAAATTCCGGTGCTCAGACCCCACAACAGGACTTAATTAACCTTGCCTTCAAGGTGTACAATAATAGAGTAGAGGCAGCCAAGTAGCAATGTATTTCTGAGTTGCAATTCCTTGCCTCCACTGTGAGACAAACCCCAGCCATATCTCCAGCACACAAGAACTCCAAACGCCTGAACTGCAGCTGCCAGGGATTCCTCCAGAACCTTCTCCCCCGGGAGCTTGCTACAAGTGCTGGAAATCTGGCCACTGGGCCAAGGAATGCCCGCAGCCCAGGATTCCTCCTAAGCCATGTCCCATCTGTGCGGGACCCCACTGAAAATCGGACTGTTCAACTCACCTGGCAGCCACTCCCAGAGCCCCTGGAACTCTGGCCTAAGGCTCTCTGACTCCTTCCCAGATCTTCTTGGCTTAGTGGCTGAAGACGGACGCTGCCCGATCACCTCGGAAGCCCCCTAGACTATCACGGATGCCGATCTTCTGGTAATTCTCACAGTGGAGAGCAAGTCTGTCCCCTTCTTAATCAATATGGAGGCTACCCACTCCACATTACCTTCTTTTCAAGGGCCTGTTTCCCTTGCCTCCGTAACTGTTGTGGGTATTGATGGCCAGGCTTCTAAACCTCTTAAAACTCCCCAACTCTGGTGCCAACTTAGACAATACTCTTTTAAGCACTCCTTTTTAGTTATCCCCAACCTGCCCAGTTCCCTTATTAGGCCGAGACACTTTAACTAAATTATCTGCTTCCCTGACTATTCCTGGGCTACAGCCACACCTCATTGCCACCTTTTCCCCCAGTTCAACGCCTCCTTCACATCCCCCCCACTTGTATCTCCCCACCTTAACCCACAAGTATAGGACACCACTACTCCCTCCTTAGCGACCGATCATGCACCCCTTACCATCCCATTAAAACCTAATCACCCTTACCCCCTCAATGCCAATATCCCATCCCACAGCATGCTTTAAAAGGATTAAAGTCTGTTATCACTTGCCTGTTACAGCATGGCCTTTTAAAGCCTATAAACTCCCCTTACAATTCCCCCATTTTACCTGTCCTAAAACCAGACAAGGCTTACAGGTTAGTTCAGGATCTGCGCCTTATCAACCAAATTGTTTTGCCTATCCACCCTGTGGTGCCAAACCCATATACTCTCCTATCCTCAATACTTCCCTCCACAACCCATTATTCTGTTCTGGATCTCAAACATGCTTTCTTTACTATTCCTTTGCACCCTTCATCCCAGCCTCTCTTTGCTTTCACTTGGACTGACCCTCACACCCATCAGGCTCAGCAAATTACCTGGGCTGTACTGCCGCAAGGCTTCACAGACAGCTCCCATTACTTCAGTCAAGCCCAAATTTCTTCCTCATCTGTTACCTGTCTCAGCATAATTATCATAAAAACACACGTGCTTTCCCTGCTGATCGTGTCTGGCTAATCTCCCAAACCCCAATCCCTTCTACAAAACAACAATTCCTTTCCTTCCTAGGCATGGTTAGTGCGGTCAGAATTCTTACACAAGAGCCGGGACAGCACCCTGTAGCCTTTCTGTCCAAACAACTATGACCTTACTGTTTTAGCCTAGCCCTCATGTCTGCATGCAGCTGCTGCCACTGCTTTAATACTTTTAGAGGCCCAAAAAATCACAAACTGTGTTAAACTCACTGTCTACAGTTCTCATAACTTCCAAGATCTATTTTCTTTCTCCCACCTGATGCATATACTTTCTGCTCCCCGGCTCCTTCAGGTGTACTCACTCTTTGTTGAATCTCCCACAATTACCATTGTTCCTGGCCCAGACTTCAATCCGGCCTCACACAGTATTCCAGATACCACACCTGACCCCTATGACTGTATCTCTCTGATCCACTTGACATTCACCCCATTTCCCCGTATTTCCTTCTTTCCTGTTCCTCACCCTGAACACACTTGGTTTATTGATGGCAGTTCCACCAGGCCTAATCGCCACACACCAGCAAAGGCAGGCTATGCTATAGTACAAGCCACTAGCCTGCCTCTTAGAACCTCTCATTTTCTTTCCATCGTGGAAATCTATCCTCAAGGAAGTAACTTCTTCCATCTGCTATTCTGCTACTCTTCAGGGATTATTCAGGCCCCCTCCCTTCCCTACACATCAAGCTCGAGGATTTGCCCCCGCCCAGGACTGGCAACTCTTAACTCCCTCTTAGAGTGGATAGATGATCTTTGCTGGCAGGGGACCCTCCAGTACTTTCACCCTGACGAAGTTCTATTCTTTACTTTTATACTCACTTTTATTCTCATTCCCATTCCTCTGCCACCCTCTACCTCTCCCCAGCTATCTCCACCACGCTATCAACCTTACTCATTCTCTCCTAGCCGTTTCTAATCCCTCCTTAGCAAACAACCACTGGCTTTGCATTTCCCTTTCTTCCAGGGCCTACACAGTTGTCCCCACCTTACATGCAGACTAGGCAACACCTCCTGTCTCCCTACACCTCCAGACTTCCTTTAACAGCCCTCACTTTTACCCTCCTGAAGAACTCATTTACTTTCTAGACAGGTCCAGCAAGACCTCCCCAGACATTTCACATCAGCAAGCTGCCACCCTCCTCCACACTTACTTGAAAAACCTTTCTCCTTATATCAACTCTACTCCCCCCATATTTAGACCTCTCACAACACAAACTACTATTCCTGTGGCCGCTCCTTTATGTATCTCTCAGCAAAGACCTACTGGAATTCCCTTAGGTAATCTTTCACCTTCTCGATGTTCCTTTACTCTTCATCTCCAAAGCCCTCTTCTTGTTTACTTATACCCAGCCCCGAAAATAACAGTGAAAGGTTGCTCGTAGATACTCAACGTTTTCTCACACACCATGTAAATCGAACCTCCCCCTCTACGCAGTTACTTCATCAATCCCCATTACAACCTCTGACGGCTGCCACCCTAGCTGGATACCTAGGAGTCTGGGTACAAGACACCCCTTTCAGCACTGCTTCTCTTTACTTTGCATCTCCAGTTTTGCCTCGCACAAGGTCTCTTCGTCTGTGGATCCTCTACCTACATGTGTCTACCTGCTAATTGGACAGGCACATGCACACTAGTCTTCCTTACCCCCAAAATTCAATTTGCAAATAGGACCGAAGAGCTCCCTGTTCCCCTCATGACACCGACACGACAAAAAAGAGTTATTCCACTAATTCCCTTGCTTGTCGGTTTAGGACTTTCTGCCTCTACTATTGCTCTCGGTACTGGAATAGCAGGCATTTCAACCTCTGTCACGACCTTCCGTAGCCTCTCTAATGACTTCTCTGCTAGCATCACAGACATATCACAAACTTTATCAGTCCTCCAGGCCCAAGTTGACTCTTTAGCTGCAGTTGTCCTCCAAAACCGCTGAGGCCTTGACTTACTCACTGCTGAAAAAGGAGGACTCTGTATATTCTTAAATGAAGAGTGTTGTTTTTACCTAAATCAATCTGGCCTGGTGTATGACAACATAAAAAACTCAAGGATAGAGCCCAAAAACTTGCCAACCAAGTAAGTAATTATGCTGAACCCCCTTGGACACTCTCTAGTTAGATGTCCTAGGTCCTCCCAATTCTTAGTCTTTTAATACCTGTTTTTCTCCTTCTCTTATTCCGTATAGTTTTTCAATTTATACAAAATCGTATCCAGGCCATCACCAATAATTCTACACTACAAATGTTTCTTCTAACAACCCCACAATATCACCCCTTACCACAAAATCTTCCTTCAGCTTAATCTCTCCCACTCTAGGTTCCCATGCCGCCCCTAATCCCGCTCGAAGCAGCCCTAAGAAACATCGCCCATTATCTCTCCATACCACCCCCCAAAATTTTTGCCGTCCCAACACTTTACCACTATTTCATTTTATTTTTCTTACTAATATAAGAAGACAGGAATGTCAGGCCTCTGAGCCCAAGGCTAAGCCATCATATCCCCTGTGACCTGCACGTATACATCCAGATGGCCGGTTCCTGCCTTAACTCATGACATTCCACCACAAAAGAAGTGAAAATGGCCTGTTCATGCCTTAACTGATGACATTATCGTGTGAAATTCCTTCTCCTGGCTCATCCTGGCTCAAAAGCTCCCCTACTGAGCACCCTGTGACCCCCACTCCTGCCACCAGCGAATAACCCCCCTTTGACTGTAATTTTCCTTTACTTACCCGAATCTTATAAAATGGCCCCACCCCATCTCCCTTTGCTGACTCTCTTTTTGGACTCAGCCCGCCTGCACCCAGGTGAAATAAACAGCCTTGTTGCTCACACAAAGCCTGTTTGGTGGTCTCTTCACACAGACGTGAGTGAAAATTTTCATCTCGACTGAAGGCTTTGGTTCAAATAAAATGAGTTCCCAATTGCAAGCCTAAAGGCAAAGGAAACAATGTTGTTCAGGCATGAATCACTGTGAAGGTCATTGTGTGTGACAGTTGTGTAGGGGGCTGGATGTGAACTACATACAATAGTCTTATCATTCAACAAACAAATGTGCTTAAAGAATCAATGCACTTAAACTCATTACTGCAATGTTTCCCTGTATAGAGAAGAATTCCTCTAGAAAATCTAGGCTTTGTGGAGATTCCTCAAGAATCTAGAACCAGAAATACCATTTGACCCAGCAATCCCATTACTGGCTATATACCCAAAGGATTATAAGTCATTCTACTATAAAGACACATGCACATGTATGTTTATTGCGGCACTATTCACAATAGCAAAGAGTTGGAACCAACCCAAATGCCCATCAATGATAGAATGGATAAAGAAAATGTGGCACATATACACCATGGAACACTATGCAGCCATAAAAAAGGATGAGTTCACGTCCTTTGCAGGGACTTGGATGAAGCTGGAAACCATCATTCTCAGCAAACTAACCCAAGAACAGAAAACCAAACACTGCATGTTCTCACTCACAGGTGGGAGCTGAACAATGAGAACACATGGACATAGGGAGGGGGACATCACACACCGGGGCCTATTGGGGGGTGGGAGGGCTAGGGGAGGGATAGCATTAGGAGAAATACCTAATGTAGATGACAGGTTGATGGGTACAGCAAACCACCATGGCACGTGTATACCTATGTAACAAAACTGCACGTTCCGTACATGTACCCCAGAACTTAAAGTATAATAAATAAATAAATAAATAAATAAATAAATAAATAAATACATAAATAGGTTAAAATGGAAAAAAATAAAATCTAGGCTTTTAAACTAGATTTCAAACTTCTAAAATTGGATCTACTTTTTAAAAAATGCCAATTTAAAAATGGCACAGATGTGTAGGTACATTCGTTCTTAGCCATGGATACGGACAAATCATTGGTTAAGCTTTCTGTAGTTGTTGAGAATACAGTTGATTATGAAGTTTCTCTTAAACTCTTTGTTTTTTTCCAAGTTTTCTGCAGTGAACATGTATTAATGTTATAATTGTAATTATATTTACATATAATTATATGTAATCCTATGACATATAATTCATACACAACTATATATAATTTTATATTCTCTCCAGAGCATTTCTTCTTAAAGCAAGAAGAAAATTCACTGCGTGGGAGGAAAAACCTAGTATTAAAACATGAAATTCATTTTAATACTAAGGGACCTCACTATTTGAAAAAAATTACTTGTAAATTTCTTAGCTGATCAATTAATTCTTTTGAAAAGCAAATTGGAAATTATGCCATGACTCCAGCTTTAATAAGTCAAGAATATTGTGAAATGAGTGTTTAGTATATTCTTTTTTTTGAGACAGGGTCTCACTCTGTCAAACAGGTTAGAGTGCAGTGGTGTGATCTCAGCTCACTGCAACCTCCATCTCCCAGGCTCAAGCAATTCTCCTGCCTCAGCATCCCCATTAGCTGGGACTACAGGTGTGTGCCACGATGCCTGGGCAATTTTTGTGTTTTTTTTGTAGAGATGGGTGGGTTTTGTCATGTTGCCCAGGCTGATCTCAAACTCCGGAACTCAGGTGATCTGCCCACCTCCGCCTCCCAAATTGCTGGGATTACCGGCATGCGCTACCATGCCCAGTCTCTATGTATATTCTTCACATTTTTTCTAAAATAGAAGTGCTGAAGGATTCCCATTAAAGATGGTGGATTGAGCACCTACATTTACCACTGCTTCTTCATAAAGCCCGTGAAAAGGGGAATGAAGTGTTAAGATATACGAAGGTGTAAGAACAAATCATGAGGCAGGGGATGATAACAACCTTTTTAGAGCTGAAAAACAGCAGAACCATCTTAAGTGGCAGCATATCCAAGGACAGATGCTTGCACTGAGGTGGAGAGTGCTGAGAAGTAGCCCGGTTGGCACTGCAAAGCCGCCCATTATTTGTGCAGTTGATGGCAAGAGTTTCCACTGGATATGTGTGTTTATGTGAAGCTAAAAACAGAAGAACTCACTGGAAGCTCGTGAAGAACATTTATATCCCCAGATCCCTACCCCAGGCATCTGTCCTCCCCTCACTCTGGCAGAAGAGGAACGATGTATTCTCTGGGAAGGACACAGAGACTCTCAGTTGGAGGACTCTAGGCATAGGACGGCAGGGGCTCTGTACTGAAAACAGGGATCTTCAGTCAACATTTACACACTGAATCTTGAACCTCGCAGTCCTCTTCCTTCTTAGCTGTGAGAACAGTGACAGCCAGGTGTCTACCCTCCAGGCAACAGGGCAGAAAATTCTTCTCTGGAGCTTTCAATCAGCCCAAGACAAAAATCTCAGTGATGCAACATCAGGGGCTTCCCGATGAAACAACTCAGCCACTGAAGCCCACGGGTGACAGGCCCCATTTGTGTGCACAGAACTTTCAGTCATATTTGTAGTGCCTCAATCTTAAATGTGGGTGTCAGCTAAAGGGGAACCAGGCATTTGAGGACATGTCTCAAACACAGGAGAAGAAAAAAGAAAAACAAACGAAAATACACATATACACACACACACACACACACCAACCAACCAACCAAAGAAAGCTACTTGAAGGAAAAAGAGGCTGAGTAGGAAAAGAAACACTTGGGAGAAAACCGTCATTAATACCTTCTGAGAGATAACATATTGCTTTCATGAAATGAGAACAGATGATTTAAAAAAAGGAACATTCAAAGAACAAAAAATAGAGCTCTTGGAAATTCAGAACATAAAAAAAGAAGTGAAAAACTCAATGAGAGTTTATGAAATGTAAATTTGAGAACATTGTTCAGAGAATAGGGGAAACAACAGCCAAAGAAATTGAACAAATGAAAGAAAATATAAGAAAATAACAGATCAGTCCATGGGGTCTGATAGCTGAATAACAAATTCTGGGAAGAGAGAACAGGAAATGAAAGAAGAAATTGTCCCCCAAAATCTATTCCTAGAGTTCAAGAACGGCTTTCCAGATTAAAAGGCCCCATGTGTGTTCCAACAGAAAGAGTCAAAATAGACCCACATCAAATAATATTCATGAGATTTCAGAAAACAAAGAAGAATAAGAACCTAAAATCTTCCAGAGAGAAAAACACCGAGTTCAAATAAAGAATTGAGAATGAAAATGGCATTGAATTTCTTGAGAGCAATACTATTGACAATAGACAAATTCCTTCAAACTTGTGAAGGGAAATAATTTCTAAATGAGAATTCTGTATTCAGTCTGATTTCAATTAAGCATGAGGGAGAATAAAGACATTTTCAGACTTGCAATGTTTCAGAAAATGTGATTCCCGTTCATTCTTTCTCAGGAAGCTACAGAAGGATGGCTCCATTTTTAAAAAAGGGACTAGATCAACAAAGAGAAAGTCATGGAAGCCGGGTAGGAGGGGGATCTCATGCCATCCGGAGGCCCAGGTTATCTATGATGATGGAGAAGAGAGATGCAAGGATGGTGATACGGCTTGGCTCTGTGTCCCCCCCGCAAATCTCACCTTGAATTGTAATCCCATGTGTCAGGGGAGGGTCCTGGTGGGAGATGATTGGATCATGGGGGCGGATTTCTCCCTTGCTGTTCTCATGATAGTGTGAGTGGGTTCTCAAGAGATCTGATGGTTTAAAAGTATGTGGCAGATCCCAGCTCACTCGCTTTCTCCTGCTTTGCAGAGGTAAGACATGCTTACTTCCCCTTCACCTTCTGCTGTGATTATAAGTTTCCTGAGGCGTCTTAGCCAGACTTCCTGTTAACCCTGCAGAACTGCGAGTCAATTAAACCTCTTTTCTTCATAAATTACCCAGTCTCATGTAGTTCTTTATAGCAGAAGGAAGACAGACTAATACAGATGCCCAAGGCCTATCCAGCCAGAATGCTCTGGGGTAGAAGTTTCCAAGAAAATGAAATGGTGAGTTCCTCTTATATTGGCTGCAATATGTTGAGGGAAGATTTTAAAATTGAGAGAGAGCTTGAGTTTCAATTCATAATTAGTTCACAAAAAATTAAGCAAATGAAGAAAACAATATAATGATTAAGGAAAACAAAATAGTGTGTAGGAAAGGAAACTTTTTTTTTTTTTTTTTTTTTTTTTTTTTTGAGACAGGGCCTTGGTCTTTCACCCAGGCTGGAGTGCAGTGTTGCTATCATAGCTCGCTGCAGTCTCCAATTCCTGGGCTCAAGTGATCCTCCCACTTCAGCCTCCCAAGTAGCTGGGACTACAGGTGTGCACCATAATACCAAGTTAATGTCTTTTTTTTTTTTTTTTGTAGAGACAGGATCTCACACTATGTTGCCCAGGTTGATCTTGAACTCCTGGCCTCAAGCAATCCCTCACCTGTGCCTCCCAAAGCACTGGGATTATAGGAATGAACCACCATGCCTGGCTGGAAACACAGCTCTATTATATGGTTCAGTTATGAAAAGCATGATGATGTAAACACTGCATACGGATCTATCCAAAGCCAGTAAACCATCCTATTGGAAGGGTGAAGGTAAAGGAAAAACATGGAGGGGAGGAGGCCATGGAGGAGAGTTGTTGGCTGTGAAAGAGCCTAATCCTCATCTTCCATAGTCAGGAGTCACCTAACAGTGACTGACTAAAAACAGAAACTCAAGGAGTAGCCTAGGAGACGGTAAAGGACAGCCCACTGTGCAGCCACCTGTGTTTGTAGATAAAGTTTTTTCAGCACCCAGCTACACCCACTCATTTACATATTGCCCACAGCTGCTTTTGTGCTACAACAGCAGAGGTGAGTAACTGCAACAGAGACTCTATGGCTCTCAAAGCCTAAAATACTCATTGTTTTGCTCTTTACAGGAAAAGTCTGCTGACCCCTCAAGTAGCAGGTGAATATATTTAGAGAATTAAAGACAAATGCCAAAGGAAAAAAAAATCTTGAAAATTGGATGGTTGTTTATCCTAATAAGCCATATAGAACTATTTGACACTTTAAACAAGATGATTTTATTACTTTGATAAAAATAAAAGCTAAGTAAAAAAGAAGTGTTAATATGTATTATCAGAGGCAGCAGACATTTTTTTCCAGGACGATAACAAAGTATAAAAACAAAGCACCTCCCTTCTTTGATGTGTTCCTTTTTTCGATGTTTGGACAATTTCTTTGCTTACAATCTAATTTCCTGTTTTGAACCTATCAAGTTTCCTCTCTTTTGGCTTTTTTATTTTTAGTTTTGGTTAAAAACCAAGGCAGGAAGCAAGAAGTCAAGCATAAGGTTTTAAATGACTTCTCTTCTACCCTCTGAATGTATCTAGAGGGAGGGAGGTTGCAGATTTGTAGATTCCCAGGCAATCCACAACTTCAAAGAGTTCGCTAAACAGATTTTATTCACTTAACCAAAAGTAATCTCAAATTTTCTTCAAACTTCAACTTATTTATCTTAAAAGGATGCAGTGGAGACTCACATTCCACCCAGTGACAACTTTCCTTCCTAATGTAATCTTGAAATGGAAAAGCATCCATAATTAATCTGGAAGTGGGCTGTCTTAGCCATTAAACACGTTTCCAATTTAGACTTGGGCTTTGTCCCAGCAATCTGAAAGGTCATTTTCTATCCACGGCTTCAAGATAATTCCCAATTAGGACAATAAGGACAATTTCCAGAAAATGAGCTTTTCTTAATACGTGCAATGTCTGATAATTTATTGATATTATCATCCAGACGTGATGGTAAATATTTCTATTCTGGGGTCTGGGATGCGAAAAAGAAGGAGCCATTCTCACTATTGCATTCTCAGCTTAGTATGTATGACCTTATTCAGCAGAAATTTCAGCTGCAACACGGCCAAGCTTATAGGCCCCGAGGGACTTATGTACTAGCAGAGCTTGAAGCTGAGTCAGCTGGCCAGGGCCCAAGCTCCTAAGAGAGGATGCGCCCTTCCAGCTCTCATGGCGTGTTGGCTGTCCACCTACCCGTCTCTGCCTGGCTATGTCACTTCAGTATGTTCAGCAGGTGCTTACTGAGCACCTTCTATGTGCTTAGCTCTGCATGACCCCTGTGAACAAAACCAATCTACCTTGCATTCTCTACCTGGAAGATGAACCACTTCCATTTATGAGCTCAAGGAAATCCTTCGTCTTCAGGATCAAGTTAAATTTCAGGAGTGGGAATATTTGTTCTATTAGTATTTTCAGGATGTATGGGACCCAGTTACCATGGTGTATTAGTCCATTTTCACACTGCTATAAAGAAATACCCAAGGCTCATGCCTGTAATCCAAGTGCTTTGGGAGGCCAAGGTGGGCAGATCTCCTGAGAGATCAGGATCAACTATGGCCAACATGTGAAACTCTGCCTCTACTAAAAATACAAAAATTAGCCAGACACAGTAGTAGGCGCCTGTAATCCAAGCTACTCAGGAAGCTGAGGCAGGAGAATTGCTTGAACCTGGGAGGCAGAGGTTGCAGTGAGCCGAGATCCTGCCACTGCACTCCAGCCTGGGTGACAGAGAGAGACTCAATCTCAAAAAAAAAAAAAAAAAAAAAAAGAATAATCGAGACTGAGTAATTTATAAAGGAAAGAGGTTTAATTGATTCACAGTTCCACATGGCTGGGGAGGTCTCATGAAACTTACAATCATGGGGAAGGGGAAGTAGGCAGGCGAGAGAAGCGAAAGCTAAGGGAGAAGAGCCCCTTATAAAACCATCAGATCTTGTGAGAACTCACTCACTATCCTGAGAACAGCGCGGGGCAAACCACCCTCATGATCCAACCATCTCCCACCAGGTCCCCCCTTGACACATGGGGATTACAGTTCGAGATGAGATTTGGGTGGGGACACAGAGTCAAACCACATCACATGGCATAGGGGATATTGGGGACACAGGAGGAATGGGTGCAGCTTTGGGAGGCTGAAAAAGGGCAGGGCAAGGGAGAAGGAGGCACAGATACTTCAGTGTGAGCTTTAATATTCATGTGGTTCTAGGGTTCATGCATTAGACTTTTCATTTCATGTTCCTCTCCCCTAACCAAGTTCAGCCCTTCTGGGTCTTAATGTACATCTAAACTTTTGCAACATTACCCTGGCTGGTCTCATTGCCAGTAGAAGCTCAGTTCTTTAACTCATTATATACCCTACTGCTAGGTAGATTTTCTTACACATCCTTTGTACATTCCTCAGCCTGCTAGATGAGCCACCACCACTAAGAAAGTGGCCTTCACAAGGGCAGGTTCGGGGCCTGTCACTGCTGGAGTCCAGCATCCAGCAGTGACCTGGCAGCAGGAATCTTATGTGTCTGTTGCCTGGAAGGCAAAGAGAATCATGGAGTTTTCCAGCAGGAAGAGCAAGATCAGCTAGGCTGTGCTTCCGTCTTGTAAAGGAGCTAGCCTTGGTGTCATACAGCAGGAACTGAGGTCCCAGTGATTATTCAAGGCTATAGGGCCAGTTTGTGGATAGGCCAGGTGTCTCGTCCATCCACTCTCTTCCATTCAGAGTCCCTCAAAGTCACCCATGGGTCCTCCTCAATGCTTCACTTTGACGCAGAAGCCTTCTACCACCAACAGGCTCATCTTCTTGCTGTTCTACGGACCCCCTGGTGTGGTGAAGCCTGCTCACCTTTGTTAAGGCCATCCCACTGGCACAGATCCACATCCGAGCTACATACTTCTTGAAGTGGGCATGGTCCAGTTCTATCTCCACAAAGCTGTCCTCCAGATTTCTGCTCTATCCCTTCTCAAGGGAATACATATTCCTTTTTAAAAAATCACTAATTGGGTACTTAAAACATTAACTAGAAGTATTTTACATTTTATTACTGCATTTCATCTCTCCAACTTGCTGCTAAACCCCATGAGGACAGAGGGGATGTTTAGACACACAGACTTGCAGAGTTGAATGCATCCTTGGAGTCCATCTGTTTCTACACATTTATTTCACAGATAATGTCACTGAGGCACAGAGGAAGGAAATGGCTTGCCCATAGTCTTTTTTTTTTTTATGCAGTAAAATGTACCTAACATAAAATGGACATTTTAACCTATATATATATATATATTTTTTTTTTTTTTTAGACGGAGTCTCGCCTTGTCACCCAGGCTGAAGTGAAGTGGCATGATCTTGGCTAACTACAACCTCCGCATCCCGGGTTCCAGTGATTCTCCTGCCTCAGCCTCCTGAGTAGCTGGGATTACAGGCGCATGCCACCATGCCCAGCCAATTTTTGTATTTTTAGTACAGACGCGGTTTCACCATGTTAGTCAGGCTGGTCTCAAACTCCTGACCTCGTGATCCACCCACCTCGGCCTCCCAAAGTGCTGGGATTACAGGTGTGAGCCACCATGCCTGGCCCATTTTAACCTACTTTTAAATGTACAAGTCAGTGGCATTAAGTGTATTCACATTGTTGTGCACCATCACCACCACCCATCTCTGGAAATTCTTTGTCTTGCAAAATTGAAACTCTATACCCATTAAACAACAACTCCCCATTGTCCCTCCTCCCAGCCCCTGGCAGTCACCATCTGACTTTCTGTGTCTATGATTTCAACTCCTCTAAGTATCTCATAGAAATGGAATCATACAGTATTTGTCCTTTTGTAACTGGCTTATTTCCCTTAACACAATGTTAAGGTTCACCCATGTTGTACGTATAGACCACATTTTGTTTATCTGTCCATCTATGGACACTTGGTTCTTTCCACCTTTTTGCTATTGTGAATAATGCTGCTATGAACATTGGTGTACAAATAGCCTAGGGTCTTTTAGTGACTTTTTTTTTTTTTTTTCCTGCTTAGCCTAGTGTTCCTCACAGGGTGGAAACTCAGTGAAAAAAAAAAAATTGTTATGATTATAATCTTAGCTAGCCCCTTAATCTTATTGAGAAAAGAAGATTTAAGCCATGAAACAAAAGACTATCCTTTCTGTAATATAGTTCATATGCTGATGCTCTCCAAATGCAATCAACATTTAATCATAACATATAACGAGTATGAAAGTATGAATTTTCTTTTTACACATGTATTTATCTTCTCACTTGTATTTCTACATATATTCCAGAGAGGAGGAAATATGATTCAGGACTTTGTTTCTCTCTAACATAAGGTTGTCCCTTAAGAATCCTTGGTAAAGGGCCTATCATGAAACCATAAGGCTTTTAAGAATCCAATGTCAAGGATTTTCTTTGACAAAATCTCCTTTAGCATCTCTCCTGCTGGGTTAGAGAAAGAGAACAATTCAGCAAAAACACTAGGAGCAGCTTTCCCTTTTCCATTTCCATACGCCCTTTCTCTGTAGATGTGTGTCCTTGAAAATCCGTTATCCCTGTTCAACTCTCTCAAGGTGAATTCAAGGACAGAGGCCTCTTACTATGAGCATTAACTTTAGTGGACAGTTTTTTACCTCCTTACACAAGCCTATATTCAGCATCAAATCAATTCCTTTGGCAGTTATTATTATTTAGTGTTAGCTCTCCAAAGTGACTTTAAATCTCTTTTCTTAGTTAAGAGAAATGGAAAAATCTTTCTCTGCCAGTTGCTCACAGTGATTTCTGTATTATCAGGAGCTTATTAAGCTAAAAAGCCTACTGGGCAAAGACTAATCATCATTTTATGCATTTCTAGAGCACATTACACTTTTCAAATTGTACCTTACATCCAATATTTCTTTTGGTCTGTGAAACAATTAGGTTGGGAAAATAAGGCTGAGTTAATTATTAGGCCAGTGGAATGAGGCGGAGCTGAGGCCCGAGGGAAGCAAAGTGTGGAGGGTCACACAGCAGCGATCACTACAGTGGCTAGTCAGAAAAAAATCGTTGACTGTTATCTGTGTGCCCTTGGAAACAACCTAGAAACACGTGGTCATTGGAGGTGCATCCTGTCCTGTGCAGAATCGCGCCTGCCTGGCCTGAGCTGGCTCTGCCCAGCCTTCCTGGCTCATCAGAACTTTCTCTGGTCCAGGCGAAATGCCCTCCTCTAGTTTCTGATGCAACACACCTTTTCCCAGCTCTGTTTCCTTTTCTTTTCTTCACCTGGCTACTTCTACTCATTCTTTAAAAAATATTTTTAAAAAGTTGGGGCCGGGTGTGGTGGCTCACATCTGTAATACCAGCATTTTGGGAGGCTGAGGAGGGCACATCACAAGGTCGGGAGATTGAGACCATTCTGGCTAACACGGTGAAGCCCTGTCTCTACTAAAAATACAAAACATTAGCCAGGCGTGGTCGTGGGCGCCTGTAGTCCCAGCTACTCAGGAGGCTGAGGTGGGAGAAAGGCGTGAACCTGGGAGGCAGAGATTGTGGTGAGCTGAGATCGTGCCACTGCACTCCAGCCTAGGCGACAGAGCAAGACTCCATCTCAAAAAAAAAGAAAAAAAAAAAAAGTTGGCCAGGTGCCATGACTTACTTTAGGAGACCACAGTGGGTGGATCACTTGAGCCCAGGAGTTCGAGACCAGCCATAGACAACTTAGTGAGACCCCATCTTTACAAAAAATACAAAAATTAGCAAGGTGTAGTGGTGTGTGCCTGTAGTCCCAGTTACTTGGGAGGCTGAGGTGGGAGGATCACCTGAGCTGAGGAGGTTGAGGCTTCAGGCTGCAGTAAGCCATGATTGTACCACTCGACTCCAGCCTGGGTGACAGAGTGAGACCCTGTCTAAAAAATATATATATATGTATATATGTCTGTGTGTGATGGTTAATATTCAGTGTCAACTTGATTGTATTGTTCCAATCCTTGGAACTTGGTTGGATGTAAAGTATTGTTCCTGGGTGTGTCTGTGAGGGTGTTGCCAAAGGAAATTAGCATTTGAGTCAGTGGGCTGGGAGAGGCAGACCCACCCTCAATCTGGGTGGGCACCATCTAATCAGCTGCCAGTGTGGCTAGAATAAAGCAGGGAGGAGAAGATGGAAAAAATTAGAAAGATAGTTCTTGAAGGATGGTCAGGAATCATTACCATCTTCTATGCTCTGCCCTCCCGTTGCCCCAGCCTAGAAGCATTTTCAACCCTTTAGGCTGACTTAAAAACGTATCTCCAAATGATGTGGTGACATTGCAATTTCATGACATGTTTTTAGGCATTATCTATTCACTTACCAATACGGATGATGATGAGTTAGCTTCTACTCTCCTCCCCACCATCCACTAGCACCATCCAACTACCCTTCTAAAATAGGCAGGTTGGACTTGGAGTTAGATCACAATTTGGTTTTTATAGGATTAAGGTCACATATGATTAAGACCACGTAAATGCCATTTAGGGCTAAGTCATTATTGTTTCCTACAGTTACTTTTCTTTTCCTGTAGTTTTTCTTTTTGCTGAGTTTTATTTACTTTAAATTTGTTTCATTTTCCTTTGGTGATCGTGTTTTTGTGTCCTCCTTCAATCCTTAATTGAGAATGAGAAAGAAAAGCAGCTCTTGAGCGTGGGGAGCTGTTTGGGAACTCACAGCCAGGCCATGTGTGCTTCTGTTTGGGGTGATCCATTTCACAGAACTCAACATCAGACAAGGTCATTCCGTGACCTTCATGGGGAAAGGCAAAGAAGAGGTCACTCCATGAGACATGTCTCAGCACTGAAAAAAGAAAACTGGCCAGAACACGAAAATGATCCAACATACCCCTTCTCAGCCTAATACACATCATTTCTACTTCTTTACCAACTACAGCTGTTTTTCTCTACTGTCTTCAAGATAAAAAAAAATTAAGATATTCAATCACAGAATTACCTGCTTCCTGACAGTATCCAATCTAGAACAAACCCCTACTTTTTTTAACTCTCCCCAAATCACCTACTGAAAACCGAATAGCACTTTCTAGCACCCTCTTTCCAGCATCCTCTTACTGAGATGCCTCTATGGTTCTCCATAATGAGCAATCTCCCATGATGCAATGAGTGAAGAATCCCACATTTGTTCTACTACAGGTGGGCTCCTAGTGGTCAGTGGCTGTAATTAATCTCTGCATTTGAAGATCCATCAATATTCATCTGTGAGCCCTACAGTCTTGGATGGGAACCCTCCACTCACCAATTTTAGTGTGCTTATTTGAGACCCTTTGTGTCTCTAGCTGTCTGATGTAACCACACTGCCCGTGCTAGGAGAAGTTCATGCTGAACTGAGCTTCCATATTCTGCTGAGGTCCTTCCACTTTAGGTGTTTTTCCTTCCTTCCTTCCTTCCTTCCTTCCTTCCTTCCTTCCTTTTCTCTATCTCCCTCTCTTTTTTTTTCTTCCCCTAGGAATAAGGTTACCAGTGACTTTTTGGTTATCTGATCTGATTTTTATTGTTCTTTGGTGATACTGTTTACCAGTCTACAGATATATGTTCCTATGGACTGTCTGCTTGTACAGTGTCTTGAGTGTTCTTTATCTCTAAAACAAAAGGTCTCTAGGGAGACAATGAGCATAAGCCAGGTAAGTCAGTTCTTGAGCTGGCTCAGGGGCCTAGGAGTTCAGAAGTTCTCCTACAATCAACATTCTTTGAATAAACTTTGACTTGGGTCATGATTTCGAACCCTTAGAAGAACTTTTTCGTCGGTCTTGTTCTTTTCCTGAGAGCTGCTTTGTTTAGATTAGGCTTCTTGAAATCAGAAGGGATTGTCTGACCCTGGAATGGGCTTTGGCCAAGTCCTGACGAAAGTAGGCTGCACGGGCACCATCGTGTGGGAGGATCTATTGCAGTGCTCATAGTGTCTGATCCATCCTAAAACTGGGCATTTTCTATGAAACAAATACCTGCTTTCTCACATCACCTTAACTGACATGCTTGTGTCTTTAACTGGCAGAATTTCACGGGATAATTTTTTTTTTTTTTTTTTTTTTTGAGACAGAGTCTTGCTCTGTTTCCCAGGCTGAAGTGCAGCAGCGTGATCTTGGCTCACTGCGAACTCCACCCCCGGGTGCAAGCAATTCTCATGCCTCAGCCTCCCGAGTAGCTGGGACTACAGGCGTATGCCACTATGCCTGGATAATTTTTTGTATTTTAGTAGAGATGGTGGGCGGGGGGGGTCTCACTGTGTTGCCCAGGCTGGTCTCAAACTCCTGATCTCAGGCAATCTGCCCACCTCAGTGCTAGGATTACAGATGTGAGCTACCATGCCTAGCCAATTTCACAGGATAATTTTGAACTGCAGTGGCTATTTTGGGGACCTTTTTGACATGAACAAGATTGTTCATTTGAGTGGTGCCTGAGAACAAAAATTGGAGAAAGCTTCATGAAGAGATACCTGTCTTGCAATCTAAAAAGAGAGAGTTTTTGGCTCATTGTAAATGCTGTTTTCTACATTTCTGTTCTTTGAGGATTAATAAAGTCTGGCTTTTAAACATGTTACTTGATAAGAATTTCAAGGCCCAAATAATTGTTTATACCAGCTGTAAGAGTTATCTTTTGCATGTATATATGTCACAGTGGGTTTTCCTGAATCTAAACATTTAGTGCCTCTTCTTGCAGAGGGAAGACCCTTGCTTTTTACAGCGATAATGTCTTAAGTGTCTGAAGGTGGGTCCCTATCACTGCTTTTTTTTCTATTCCTTTCCTCCTCTTTTATCCTCTTTTGGGAAGCTTTAAAAATTAATTGAGGCCGGGCGCGTTGGCTCATGTCTGGAATCCCAGCACTTTGGGAGGCCGAGGCGGATGGATCACGAGGTCAGGAGATGGAGACCATCCTGGCTAACACGGTGAAACCCTGTCTCTACTAAAAATACAAAAAATTAGCCAGGCGCGGTGGCGGGCACCGGTAGTCCCAGCTACTCGGGAGGCTGAGGCAGGAGAATGGGGTGAACCCGGGAGGCGGAGCTTGCAGTGAGCCGAGACTGCGCCACAGCACTCCCGCCTGGGCGACAGAGCGAGACTCCGTCTCAAAAAAAAAAAAAATTGATTAAAATATTCACTCTATCATTATGAGTGCACATTAGGAATATCTGTACCATATTAGTAGTCAAAAATGTCTAAAAGGAAAAATATTAAGCTGTGCTTCTTTTGTAGCCCTTGTTACTATAGTTACAAGATAAGAAGAAAACCTTAGTTCAAGATAGAAGAAGAGCCTTGAGCACGACTTAGGGTCTTTACAATTTCATTTATCATATAAAAATAATATCAGAATAATACTTTGGTTTGTACGAGACCAATGATAAATTTCTTATCATTTAAGTTCCTAAATTTCCTACATTGTTTTTATAAGTGGATCATCACAAATTTTATAACTTGTTTAAAATGTATACACATACATACATATAATTATAGTCAATTAAATGAAAAGGTAATGGATTTTTAAAAGAATTAAGTTTTGTAAAATTTTTAAGTGCTGGGTGTCAGGATTCATTATGTTTGCAAAAATTGTGATTTCTCGATCCTTAACTAACTTTAAGACCTTAGACAAATGGTGAAGTTAATTAGTTAATAATCTTTGAAACCTAGACAATTTCAAGAGTGAAACAGATGCAAAATAAATGCTGGTTGGTAACACAATTTTAACTTACCCTGAATTCTTAGAATGGCAATAGATTAATAAAATATGCAAATACTTTTGGATGATATAATATATATATGTTTATTTTTGCCACCTCAAGTATGTTAAAATGGTATAAAATTAGTGTTCGTAAGGAAAAGAGATTCATAAAAGTTTTTTGTTTTTTGTCTTCTAGTGTTCTCTTATGTCTGGACAAGAGAAGTTAGCTGCTTTAATGAAATACAGTAATATACAAAGTTGATCATACTAGGTACAATAATTTTAGTGATCAATACACAAATAGACAAGAAAGTGGACTGATTTTTTGATTATTTTAAAAGTTATTATAGTTAATCACAATGGCAAAGTGTGTCTTTAAGTAACACAAAGCGTTGCTCCTTCACCCTAAAGAGGGAAGGATTATAGGTTTGCACAGAATTCTCCAATTTTTGATTAATTCAAAATTGTTATAGAGCTCTTTTGTTTTCCAAAACTGATAACTAGAAAGTGAGTTTATTTCTTAAGTTAGCCGTACATAAAACTAACAATGCTTAGTTATTATTTCGAGGTTAATTATATGTAAGCTTAGTAATGTTTAATTACATAGATGCTTAGAGAGTATATTCTGAATGAATGAATAAAGGACAATACAATAACATTTCTGTGACTTACAGACAATTTGATGCCTTTCTTGCAGAGATGGGTGCCAGCGTGCCTTCTGAGAATGGAGAGGTTATAATATAATATTGGCCACAGATGAGTAGCCTGTTCAGGGCTCGAGGCATGGCATACACATAGAATAGGAAACACCGCCTGCTTTTTCCTTCCATCTGTGAACCAAAGGGTTTAGATTCTTTTTTTTTTTTTTTTTTTTTTTTTTTTGAGATGGAGCCTCGCTCTGCTGCCCAGGCTGGAATGCAGTGGTGCAATGCAATCTCGGCTTATTGCAGCCTCTGCCTCCCGGGTTCAAGCGGTTCTCCTGCCTCAGCCTCCCGAGTAGCTGCGATTATAGTAATGCGCCACCATGACTGGCTAATTTCCATATTTTTAGTAGAAATGAGGTTTCACCATGTTGGCTAGGCTTGTCTTGAACTCCTGACCTCAAGTGATGTGCCTGCCTCGACCTCCCAAAGTGCTGGGATTACAGATGTGAGCCACTGTGCCCGGGGGTTTTGGATTCTAAAGCTGAAACTTGAAAGCATAGGGAATGTTGACACAACCTTCAATCCTGTCCAAGACATGACTTCTCCTCTTTTACCAAAATCTAGGTGTTTTAATAATGTGTCAGGGATAAGAAGATGAAAAATGTTAGATGGAAATCCTCATCCATCTTGCTAGTAACACTTTGTACTTTTGGATGAATCACTATACTTTAATTTTGGGGGATTATATCCCAAAGGTTAATACAACATTTCTGAGACTGGCTACAGACCAATTCCTAACCCATTTCCTTGTTTGTCCTCAATTTGTTGAATAGCTTTGACTATTGACTTACCGTGCCCAATTCTTTACATCTATTACCATTAATCCGAAAACAAGCCTGTAAAACTGAGAGACATATCCATATACCAGAAGTCATCTTACTAGTGAGGCAGTTGATTTGCAAGTCAAACCAAGTCATATCTAACTTTAATACTGCAGATTTTTTGGTTGCTATTTCATGCTACCTTCAGTGTCTCACACACAAAAAATACCATGCTTGTGTTTGTGTGAGTGTATGCGTGAATGTCCAGGAATGCATGTATTGAGGTGGTGGTGAAGAGTTACAAAGAAAAAGAAAGCATTAGAACAATTTAATTCAAATTCATTTAGCAGATTTTGGTCATTTATTTTATTTTATTTTATTTATTTTTTGTCAATCACGATGTCTATACAACTGCGCTGTGCTCCCTCAAAAAATCTCTACTCACACCATAATTTAACACTGGGAAAAATTTTACTCATATGCAAATAAAGAAGAAAAATTTGCCGGTGTAGATGGCTCAGGCAATTATAGCCATCTGCTACTTGTCAGGCCAACATGTTTCATCTGCTGCATGGTTCAGATCAACTAAGGAGGGCATCCCAGTGTAGGGCAGAGGAAGTTGCTGAGACCAGATGTTGGGGTGGAGGGGATGGATGGGAAGCAGCTAGATTGTGTTCTCTGGTCCTCATTCTAGTGTTTGGGCTGCAAGTGGTGGCCAGGGTCCCTGCAGCATCCTTGGGTTCACGAGCCATCTCTCCTTTAGGTGAGACCGAATCTCCCCAACCTCCCCAGTGAAGAGTCTCATGAAAGGTAGAGTAATACCAGTGGCTAACCTGAGCTTGCTAACTACTGTCTTTTCCCTTCCCCAGGCTTAAGATACTCAGCCTCTTTTTCTCTTAGGAAACAGTTGTTTTTGTCCCCTAAGCTCTGCTGGTGGCTTCAGCATGCTACACACTGTAACTCTAGCATGCTTTGTTTTCATCACTACAAACATTTTTAATCAGAGGCACGTGTTTTCATCAGTTAAAACCCATCAGCTTTAACCTCTTTGGGATTTCACATGAAATGTAGAACTTGCAGAAATTGGTATTTTCTACATTACGTCCATAATTAATCTGAATATCTGAACTGGCTTAAAAATGAAAACTCTATTAGTTTTATCCTAATCCACAGCGTTCAATAAGCTTCACTTTACCTGAATGGCTTAATGTGGTACTCTTCCCTTTGTCCTCCTGGGCAAGAAGAGAGAAAAATCTTCCTTCTCAACTCTCTTATACATAGAATTTGGAAAACTTCCTTTGTGAAAACCTGTCTTTTACAAAAAACAGAACAAAACAAAACAAAACAAAAAAACCTTTGCTTTTGGGGTTTCCTGGTTCTAGCTAGTGCTGATCTGGGACATGTTTTTTTTCTTTACTCCTAGGGCTAAAATATGAAATGTTAACATTCCTGCTGCTGTGTTTGCCTCACCACCCAGCACCACTCCATGGAAACCAACAGAATGAAATGAAATTAATCATCGCTTCTTCTGAGATGTCAAAGGCTGGATTTTGGTGCCCTTTTCCTGGCCCTTAAGATTTTATATCTAAAGTAAGAAGTTATTTACACACTTCTTTTAAACATTTTTTTTCAAAAATTGACAAGTAGAAATTTCATATATTTGTGGTATACAACATGACGTTTTGGAATCTGTATACCTTGTGAAATGGCTAAATGAAACTATTTAACATACGCATTACCTCCCATGCTGTGAGGGTTAATACTAACTGTCAACTTGATTGGACTGAAGGATGCAAAGTATTGGTCCTGGGTGTATCTGTGAGGGTGTTGCCAAAGGAGATTACCATTTGAGTCAGTGGGCTGGGAAAGGCAGACCTACCCTTAATCTGGGTGGGCACCATCTAATCAGCTGCCAGCACGGCTAGAATACAAGCAGGCAGAAAAATGTGAAGAGGGAGACTTGGCCTAGCCTCCCAGCCTACATCTTTCTCTTGTGCTGGATGCTTCCTGCCCTGGAACATTGGACTCCAAGTTCTTCAGTTTTGGAACTCGGACTGTCTCTCCTTGCTCTTCAGCCTGCAGATGGTCTATTGTGGGACCTTGTGATCGTGTGAGTTATTACTTAATAATAAATTCCATATTTTATATATATATATATTATATATATATTCCATTAGTTCTGTCCCTCTAGAGAACCCTGACTAAAACACATGCTGATCACTTACATACTTCTTTTATTACTGCGAACTCTCATATACTAATTTACCATGTGATTGAAGTCAGTACGGCCTCTGAATATCTAGATTCTTGCACATCGTAGAGATCTCTAAAAACTGGAAAGTCTCAAATCCTCTTCTCTGTAGGACTCAGCACCATCAGATGGTGAAGATCTACATTCATAGAAGTATAAATTCTGACTTGCGCCGGTCAATTTTGTGAAAAGAAGCTTAAAATGGTGCCAAAGCAACACCAAAACCATCCTTTCACAAAACCCATTTCAAGTAATAATTCTCCTTCATGCAGCCACAAAAATAATATCCTCATGGGTATAAATCTTAGAAGGCTGCTGGAAAAAGCTCTCTGTACTTAACGATTGATGGTCCTCAGGGACAGGAATGTGCCCCATGCTGACACATTTATCACCTGTGTTTAGAGCCAGAATAGCACCAGGGAAGGGCTTTGTAAAGAGGTGAGCCTGAGTGCCAGGGTGAGTGATGGATTTGACATAAAAGGCTGAAATGGGAGGTCTAATTACGACAGGGAATGAACAACTACCTTAATGAATCTGCCGCAGAAATTTAGTGTTGTAGGCACCAGCCACATGAAGATAGAAAGTGATAGGGTGGTTGCTCACACCTGTGGAATGCATTATTTAGAACCTGATCACTATTCATTCTGAAATGATAGCATAAAGTGAAGATAAATTCCCATCTCTGGAAATTCTCCTATCCTTGACCTTCACAATGAGAATCAAAACAAAGGCAGCTTTCAAAATGATAAAAAATGTTTTCCAGATTTACTTTCTTTCTTAAAGCATTATAGAGAAATATTTTAGGGTTAGAATTTGCACAGGAATAGAACAATCAGCTTGGTTTTCCGTATGGCTGACTCTCTTTACCATGTGATAGAGGGTTGTGCTTTGATTTCTAAAAGTGAAGGTGAAAACTGTTATGTACAATGATTTTTTAAAAAACAAGAAACATTTTCACTTCAGTTCAATTTGTTTTTCTTTTTCCTCTATTTTTAATTTTAAGCTTAAATTTAATATTTTATCACCTTAAATACTAAAACCAGATACATCAAAATATTATTCAATTATGTTGCTATATTAAAAATCTAGGATACCGTGACTACTTAAATATGACTTCCCTTTTCTATCAATTGAGAAAAGAAATCCCTTTATATTCTGCATATAACACTGAACATAGATTCTGATTTGAACATGTGCTACAATTTTCATTAATGTCACCTGAATTTCCATTATTATTAAGGAAGCTATTTAAAAAAATGTGGTTTGTTATTTTTGTCATTGCAAAAAATAACTCAGGCTTTAAAAGGTTTGTGTGAAAGTGGGTTCATCATCAGCAGAGTTTCTATTGATGACATCATGTGTGTGCAGAGGGAACGTCTGGTCTCTGTTGCTGCCTCCCCCAACAGCCTTGGTTTCTGGTGTGCCTTGTCCTGTAAAGAGGTGAGGGACTGAGCTGGGAAGTCCAGCCAGCCAACAGCAAGAGAGCTGGCCTGTGGAAGGCTTCCATGAGCTGTGTGGCAGCCATCAGCATGATTGGCTATTTTGATGCCACCAGTGTTTGCTGAGAGCAATTCTGTTCCTTTACCCGCCTCCCCAACATGGGGTGTGTGTGTGTGTGTGTGTGAGTGTGAGTGTGTGTGTATTCATTTACATTATCATTTTGCTTCTTGGACACAGGGAAAAAGGAATGAAAAAAACCAAGTAAGTTGGTGTTTATTGGTCATACTCTAGTTGAGGGCTGCCTCAAATCTCTCTGCTATTTCACCCTGGGAGGACAAATCTGTTCCGAAAACTCCCATCAAGACAGTATCTGTGTACCATCCGAGTGACATGTAGTCTTGCCATTCAGGTCATCTCTTAAGCAGAGAGCACACTCTTCCTGCTCCTGAAAACACAATTCAGGTCAGCATCCACCTCTCTTCTCCCCACTCTTCAGTTTCCTCCACCTGCTTTTCACAGAAAAGATTCACCTTCTCCTTTCCAAATCCTCCCACTATGGCCCGTTAAGCACAACCCTGGAGCTATTGTGACTTTCTAGGGGCTGGGAGACAACTGAAATTTCTGAGAGCGCTGAGCTGATAGGGTCCTATTAGAGTGCCTGGTGCACAAAACCTGCACCTTTGGAATATTGGGGTAATCAAAGGGAGACAGGCCTGCTAGGTAGGAATCCCACCACCCTGAGTTGCACTTCTCTTGTGTATTCAAAAATTCAATATACAAAGTGGGTTTTTCTCTCTTTTTTTTTTTTTTTTTTTTTTTTTGCTGAATAAGATATTTTAATCTGTTGTAATTAAAAAGTCAAAGTAGAATGAACAGGAGGTTTAAAAACAGGTCCCCATGCCAACCTCAAGCATGTAGTTGTTGTCCAAGAAATATTTGCTAAATTTAATTGAATTGTGGCTTATGAGTCACTTCTCTGTACCATAAAAGTCTTGGTGGAAAGGTTTTGCAGATACCTTAAATTAACTGGCTATGTTTGACTCTTTTGAAAAGGAAGCAGGGGGAATGATTGGAACAATTTTCAAAAAATAGGTAAAAATTATTAGGTAATATATAATCTGAATAGACCCACAAATTATTAGTGTGATTTCTACTCTATTATTTAATTTAATAGTTTTACATTATCTTAAAGAAGATGCTATGGTTTGAATGTGTCCCCCAAATTTCATGTGTTGGACACTTAATCTCTAAATTCATATGTTGATGGTATTTGGAGGTGGGGCCTTTGGGAGGTAATTAGAATTAGATAAGGTCATCGCGGTGGGTCCCTATGATGGGGCTGGTGGCTTTAAAGAAAGAGGAAGAGAGGCGGGGCGCGGTGGCTCATGCCTTTAATCCCAGCACTTTGGGAGGATGAGGCGGGCAGATCACGAAGTCAGGAGTTTGAGACCAGCTTGGCCAACATAGTGAAACCCCGCCTCTACTAAAAATACAAAAAAGTAGCTGGGCATGGTGGTGGGCGCCTGTAATCCCAGCTACTTGGGAGGCTGAGGCAGGAGAATCACTTGAAGCTGGGAGGCGGAGCTTGCAGTGAGCCAAGATTGTGCCATTGCACTCCAGCCCGGGCGACAGTGTGAGACTGTCTTTAAAAAAAAAAAAGAAAAGAAAAAAAAAAAGGTTGGGCGCGGTGGCTCACGCCTGTAATCCCCGCACTTTGGGGGGCCAAGGCGGGCCGATCACGAAGTCAAGAGATTGAGACCATCCTGGCCAACATGGTGAAACCCCATCTCTAGTAAAAATACAAAAATTAGCTGGGCGTGGTGGCACGTGCCTGTAATCCCAGCTACTCCGGAGGCTGAAGTAGGAGAATCAATTGAACCCGGGAGGTGGAGGTTGCAGTGAGCCAACATCATGCCATTGCACTCCAGCCTGGGCAACAAGAGTGAAACTCCAATTCAAAAAAAAAAAAAGAAAAAAAGAAAGAAAGAAAGAGGAAGAGAGACCTGAGTTGACCTGGTCTTGCCTTCTCACCATGTGATGCCCTCCACCATGCCATGACACAGCAAGAAAGTCCTCACCAGAAGTGGCCCCTGGACCTTGGACTTCCCAGCCTCCAGAAGCATGAATGAAATAAAGTCATTTTCTTTATAAATTACCCACTCTTGGGTATTCTGTTATAGCAACAGAAAATCAGAGGATATATGCATATTTGTTAAAAACAGTTGCTTTGGGATTAAGATGATTATAAATGTGTCAGGAAAAGGAGGGCCAATGGGTCACATGGCATGAAATAAAAACAATCACTCAATCGGTGGCATCTTGCTGGCCACTGATGTTACCTAGTCCAAGAGCTGGGAGGTGTATACAATTATGAGCGAAGCTGAACAATTGTTTTTGTTTATTGACTTTTGCCTTTTTTTCTATAGTGGCTGTTCAAACTTTAGTTTCTTGATTTGATTTTTTCCTTACAAAAATAAGGCTGAAATATTATTTATCAATCAAAAGAAATGATCTATCAAGCCATGACCTGAAGGAAACTTAGATGTATTTTACAAAGTGAAAGAAGCTAATCTGAAAAGGGTACATATTGTATGATTCCAATTATATGACATTCTGGAAAAGGCAAAGCTATAGAGGCAGGAAAAAGATCAGTAGTTGCCTGGGGACCGGGCAAGGAGCAGAGGGGAGGGAGGGATGAACAGGTGGAGACAGAGGACTTTTAGGGCAGGGGAACCACTCTCTATGATACTGTAATGGTGGATCTGTGTCATTACACATTTGTCCAAACCCAGAGAATGTACGGCCCAAGAGATTATTAGGGTACTATGTGTGGCAAGTATGTAACACCAAAAACATGACGTAGAAAGATGTTAATAAGAAGAGAAACTATGTATAACGTGGGGAGGGGTGAGGGAGTATATGGAAACTCTCTGTACTTTTTGCTCCATTTTTCTGTGAACCTAAAAATGCTCTAAATTACAGTCAATTGAAAAGGCTGTAAAGTTAAACCTTCAAACTATTAATCCACACGATAGTGTTTTATTTGCAAGGCTAAGTCACTTTGTTTAATTAATAATGTGACTTCCTTTGTATTATCATTAATTTGATATTAATTAATTTTGATAAAATAACCGTAATAGTTAAGAAATAACAAAAAGATTTTTTTTAACGTGTTTTAGGGTTTGACTTCTATAACTTAGAGTAAGAAAATCTACTAAAACTTACAGTGTTTTAAAAAATAGTAATTAGGCCCACAAAATTAATTTATGATTTATATTAATCCTTTCCTTATTGTTTGACTTTTCTTTCCTTTCTACTTCCTAATGCACTTCCCATATTAACCAGAATTTTGAAGCCAGGTCTTTCTGTGTATAGGGAGCCCAGGCTGCCACAAGACAGTTTGGAGACCTCTACTGGTTAAAAGCCGATGAGAGCACTAGGATCGACACAGAGAGATGGAGGAAAAGGAAAGAGGAGAGAACCTTATCAGGAATTGACATGGTCCCCTTTCTGAAGCATCAAATAAATACACAGTTGACCCTTGAACAATATGGTTTTAAACTGCATGAGTCTACTTATATGTAGATTTTCTCCTGCCTCTGCCAACCCTGAGACAGTAAGACTAACCCCTCTTCCTCCTCCTCAGCCTACTCAATGTGAAGAAGATGAGGATGAAGACCTTTATGATGTTCCACTTCCATTTAAGGAATAATAAATGTATTTTATCTTTCCTATGATTTTCCTAATAATGTTTTCTTTTCTCTAGCTTAATTTATTATAAGAATACAGTATATAATACATATACAAAATATGTCTTTATCAACTGTTCATGTTATCAGTAAGGCTTCTGGTCAACAGTAAGCTATTGGCAGTAAGTTTCTGAAAAGCCAAAAGTTGTATGCAAAATTTTGACTGCATAGGGGGTCAGCACCCCTAATTCTCCTGTTGTTCAAGGGTCACCTGTACTATGCCTATCTCTCAGGGTCTTTTCTCTTTCATAAAACAAACACAGACAGTAAATAAACCAACAAGCACAGAAAGACCCACCCTGGAATCATGGTTCTACCACTTACTAGCTATATGACTTGGCACATGTCACTTTAAAACTTCAGAGCCTCTTTCCTCACATGTCAAGTGCAGATTTAAGTAGGCACTTACTTGCAAGGTTAGAATTAGTGATAATGTAGTGCCAGGCAGGTGTTTCACACTTGGAAGGCATTCAACATACACTGTCCTCCATAGTACCTGTCTAGTTACTGTAAGTGAGACTGAAAGACAGTCTGTTAAATAAATCTGGCACCCGTGATAAAAGACAATGGAATAAGGCTCACTTCTGTGTATGGCTTTGCTTTAACCTCTGAGTTTGTATTTTGAATGCTAATTCCTCCCAGTCAATAAAGATGGAGTAACAGTTGGAAAATGAATTTACCTTGGAGAAGTAGTATAAATTGTGAATTAAAAATTATTAAACACTTCTTTTAGAAGATTATCTTCCTTAGATAAATACACTTTATTGTTTTTTAACAGCTACATTTAAAAGCAGGAAAATAATTCTTACTTAGACCACAGAGTCTGTCTTATCACCAGAGCACAGAGCTGTGACATTCAAAATCTAGCCATGCTTGCTGCCAAAAAACATAACAGTCCCATTAAATATCTGTTATAAACATTTAATGCTTTTTATAGCAGGATTATTCACACCCTATAGATTTTTAAGAGGTGAATAATTCTTTCATGCAAACATTTGTTTTTCTACAACTGCTCTATTCTTCCTTCAAAGTGCTACAGAAAAGTCTGTGGGGATGCCAGTCTTCCCAAATGTGGCCATGTTAGTGCCGGAGGAACATTCAAAGCATAGACTTATTGGGCCAAATCTGCTTCTTCTGTTACCATTTCATTGTGTTTTTCTGTTTTGTTCTTCAGAGCATTCAAACAAGGAGTGACTTGATTTCTTTTTATTCCAATTTGTTAACCTTCAAGCTCTCCAAAGTTTAAATTCCAGGTCGTTAGCAAGATTACATAAAGGGTCTTTGTAGCCCAGACCTTTTTCTTCGAAACATGTTATGTTCCCCTTCCACGGACCTTAAGATGCAGTGGTGTTGAGTGACAGCCAGTCTTTATGCTATAGGAAGCACCATGAGATTTCACAAACCAGAAGGAGAAGACCAGGCTCTACCTGGGTAGCCTTAGTTGGACTTGTTAATCTAGTGTGCTGAGCAGTAACCACTCTCCTCTTACCTCCATGTATTAGTCTGTTTTCACTTTGCTGATAAAGACGTACCTGAGACTGGGTAATTTACAGAGAAAAAGAGGTTTAATGGACTCACAGTTCCACATGGCTGGGGAGGCCTCATAATCATGGCAGAAGGTGAAAGGCACATCTTACATGGCAGCAGGCAAGAGAGAATGAGAGCCAACTGAAAGGGAAACCCCTTATAAAACCATCAGATCTCATGAGACTTCTTCACTACCATGAGAACAGTATGGGGGAAACCCCCCCATGATTCAATTATCTCCCATCGGGTCCCTCCCACAACAAGTGGGAATTATGGGAGCTACAATTCAAGATGAGATTTGGGTGGGGACACAGCCAAACTGTAACGCTCCATGAACATCATGTGTGATAATAGCTGTGGAAGAGCTGTTTAAACTGCAAAATAATATAAAAACATAATGTATCATCATATTCATGTGATGCAGGTTAAAAATAATTCAGTCAATTGTCACTATTTGCAGTAGCTATGTTTCATACAGTTGCTGCTAACACTCAATTAGTGAATACTAAAACATTGTTCCTAAAGTAAATACAGGGTTAGGTTCCTGCAAGCATCTGGTCATAACATTTTATCAACCAACCAATACATTACCTTGCTTTATGTGTGTATCTTATTTAATATTCAGTTTTGAAATAAATGTTGTTGATTTATTAACATTGAGCTCATGGCTGCCAGCACAATCAGTCATGCCTAAAGACAGCTCATCTAACAGATGTATTTTCTCCACAGGACAGATCGCAGCGTCTTGTGCTTAGGAGCAATAGATAGCATTTCAGCACTCCACTTAGGGGCCATTTTATACAGTAAAATCACCAATAAAAACACAAGAATGCAAAAAAAATGGCACTGAATAGACTACAAAAATGATACTTGTTTATGGTATAAGAGCTGAAACTAGAAGGCAAGGGCATCACCTTGTTTGACTTCAAATGAGAATGTACACATTGATGACAAATTGTTTGCTGCACAGCACATGTCTGCAAATAACCACAAAAGCACCAAGAATACTACTTTTGAGGTTCTAAATAAATTTTAGAGAGTAGGTGAATTTGTAAATATGAAATGTATAATAATAATGATCAACTGTATATAAATAAGAAATTCAAAAATTTTCCATGCCTTCTGGAATACTTTGGAATGTTATAATAATAAGAATTCTTTCTTTCTTTCCTTCCTTCCTTCCTTTCTTTCTTTCTTTCTTTCTTTCTTTCTTTCTTTCTTTCTTTCTTTCTTTTTTTTTTTTTTTTTTTGAGACAGAGTTGCTTTTGTTGCCCAGGCTGGAGTGCAATGGCATGATCTTGGTGGCTCACTGCAACTCCACCTCCTGGGTTTAAGCAATTCTCCTGCCTCAGCCTCCCAAGTAGCTGAGCTTACAGGTGCCTGCCACCATACCTGGCTAATTTTTGTAGTTTTTTAAAGTAGAGATGGGATTTCACCATGTTGGCCAGGCTGGTCTCGAACTCCTGACCTCAGGTGATCCACCTGCCTTGGCCTCCCAAAGTGCTGGGATTACAGGTGTGAGCTACCGAGCCCAGCCTAGAATTTTGGCTTTCAAATGTTTGTTTATTTCAAAACAATTGGGTATGCAAAAGTATGTTGTGTGTCAAAGACAGGTGAGTTGAAGATTTGGGACAGAAATAAGTGTTTTGACAATCTTCTTTAACCAAATACTAAAAATGTGATTAAAACAGAACTTCTGATCTCTCATCACATTTTAACAATAAATGATTTTTTTTGGTGGGGGTTGCTTTTGTTAATTAAAAATAATTTAATTTTGGAAACCATGGAAAGATGATGATACCAATTGGTTTTCAATCAAAAGTTTTTTTCAGTTTTTCATTGTTTGAGTGTTCTTTTTATGAGTGACCCAGGATTGGAGTCAGCCATTCTTTATTTGTATTAGCTAAAAGTCAAAGATTAGATGTAATGATACTGCCTAAGACGTACTGGACACTCACTGTGTGCCAGGCTGTGTGATAAGCCCTTTACATTCATGATAGCATCTTTCATCTTCCTAACAAAGCTTATGATATTGGCACTACTATCATTCTCATTTCACGGTTAAGAAAACTGAAGCTGAGATTTGTAAGAAACCTGTTAAAGCTCCTCGAGCAGGTGAGGCAACTGGAATTGCAGGTGTTCTGACACAGAGCCTGTATTGAGCCTGACCCTCAATGTTCAAAATATCCTCTTCCAGCCTACACTTATGACAAGATTTGCCTTTGCAGCTGTTTTATCTAGATATTGAGAGTATGTTTGCAGGTTATGATGTATTAATTATTTATTGTCCTTGTTAAAGACACATTTGGGTGATAAGCAAAGATTATTCTGATATTGACAGTATATTATATTGAAAATATCGTTGAAGGCTGGGTGTGGTGGCTTATGACTGTAATCCCAGAACTTTAGGAGGCCGAGGTGGGTGGATCATGAGGTCAGGAGATCGAGACCATCCTGGCTCATGTGGTAAAACCCTGTCTCTACTAAAAATACAAAAATTAGCCGGGTGTGGTGGTGTGAGCCTGTAGTCTCAGCTACTCACAGGAGAATTGCTTGAACCCGGGAGGTGGAGGTTGCAGTGAGCTGAGATCACGCCATTGCACTCCAACCTGGTGACAGAGTGAGACTCCGTCTCAAAAAAAAAAAAAAAAAAAGGAAACGTTGTGAAGTACCAGCTATGTGACCTTGGCTTCATTTAACCTTTCTGGGCCTCATTTTCCTCAGCTGTAATGTGACAAAGTTTCAACAAATTATTTCTTAGGGCCTCCTATGATTCTATAAGGCAATAATAATAATAAAGCCCAATAAATGTCTAAGAATGAAAGTCAATGCAATTAAAAAAGAATGAGAAGCCAGCCTTGAACTAGAACTCCCTGAGTGAATTCTTTTAAAATAGATTTCCTTCAGCCTTGAGAAGATTCTGGACATTAAGACTACGCTATATGTTCTTTAGGATATGAAAAACAGGACATAATTTCTTCTCTTCAGTTTAAATATTATTTCTCACCTATCACTTCAATGAGCTTTCTCATCAGTGCTTTCCTGCTGCTTCTGTCCTTATAGTAAAACGCAAAGGCAACTGACCAGAAATTTCAATTAACTATTTGCCATTTGTTCATTTATCAATTTTGCTGCATTCTACTCTTAGGAGGTAGAGATAAATCACAAGGCGATAAGCTGCCATCGGGGACTTTCCTTGAGAGAAGTTGCAGGCAGTTTAATCTACCCCATTTTCTCTAGCTCCTTTTTAAAGAAATGTATTATATTAATCATTCTCTTCAATAATGACTCTAAAAGAACTACAAAATTCTAAGCTGTAAATAAATAATAATTCCCACATATTTCCTAATCTCTACTGGCTAGCGCAGGAAAGTAAAGAGGGAATGGGTAGAACCGGTGGCTTAATCGCTGCAGGTCCCTCTCCTGTCCCTCACGCTCCCCCAGGGTGGATGGCACTAGCCCCTAGGAGACACTGACTAAATATCCCATGAATAAATGGCTCCACAGAAGAAGGTGGACTTGGTCTTCTTTTACTTTTATTGCTTTTCCTTTTCTTTTTTCTTTTTTTTTTGAGATGGAGTCTCCCTCTGTTGCCCAGGCTGGAGTCCAGTGGTGTGATCTCTGCTCACTGCAACTTCCGTCTCCTAGGTTCAAGCGATTCTCCTGCCTCAGCCTCCCAAGTAGCTGAGATTACAGGCTCCCGCCATCTTGCCTGGCTAATTTTTGTATTTTTAGTAGAGACGGGGTTTTGCCGTGTTGACTAGGCTGGTCTGAAACTCCTGACCTGAGGCGATCCACCTGCCTCAGCCTTCCAAAGTGCTGGGATTACAAGCATGAGCCACCGTGCCCGGCTTTTTATTGCTTTTTCTAATTGAAACTTTAATTGAGTCCATTGTAGAATCACATGTAGTTGTAAGAAATTGTACAGAGAGATCCCCTGTGTATTTTGCCCAGTTTCCCCATTGGAGACATTTTGCAAATCAGGAGTACAGTGTCACCATCAGGATATTAACATTGATATGATCCAATGATCTTATTTCAGATTTTGTACTCTTGTATGTGTGCAAATGTGATTCTGCACAATTTTATCATCTGTGTAGGTCTGTGCATCCACCACCATAGTCAGGATAATGAATAATTCCCACTGCAGAAGAATCTCTCTTTTTTATTTTTAAATTTTTGAGATGGAGTCTAGCTCTGTCACCTAGATGCAGTACAGTAGCATGATCTTGGCTCACTGCAACTTCTCTGTCTCCCGGGCTCAAGCAATTCTCCTGCCTCAGCCTCCCGAGTAGCTGGGACTACAGGCATGGGCCACCATGCCTGGCTAATTTTTATATTTTTAGTAGAGACAGATTTCACCATGTTGGCCAGGCTGGTCTCGAACTCCTGACCTCAAGTGATCTTCCTGCCTCAGCCTCCCAAAGTGCTGAGATTGCAGGAGTCAGCCACCATGCCCGGCCTCCTTGTTTTCCTTTTCTAACCACACCTCTCTTCCTTCCCCTTCCCTCCTGTCCTAGTCACTAACCCTTGGCACTCACTAATCTGTCCTCAATTGTAAAATTTTGTCATTTCAAAAATGTTGCATAAATGGGATCATTGGGTATGTAACCTTTTGGGACTGGCTTTTTTTCCATTGGCACGATTCTCTAGAGATTCATCCAAGCTGTTTTGTGTATCAGTAATTTGTTCTTCTTCATCATTGCGTTCATATGCAACACCTGAATGACTTTATAATGGAGATATATTCTGACATTTATCAATAGGCTTTTTTCTTTTTTGCCTTTCCCAGTAACGATCAATGTCCTAGTCAAGCCAAGACATCTATCTGCCTGAGGAGGAGATGGGAGATAAAGACAGGAAAAGGCCGTGTTACAGGTGGTGTTCGGTTTCTGATATGCACCTCAGTGCTATGCATCCATGGAATAGCCTTGAATGTGGCTAGAATGGAAGTCTTAATTTTTATTCCACAGTTCCTAAACTACTTCTCTCCCAGGGTACCTCATTGTAGTAGGCAGCCCCACCACTGGGCCAGCTATTCAGGCCAATACCTTGGGAAACGCTCTTTGACTTCTCTTTCTCTCACCCACCACATCCGGTTGATCACCAAATACTATGGGCTCTGACTTCAGTGTGTTCCTAGTCCAAAGATTTCTCCATCACCATCACTGCTGTTGCGTTGGTGCACGTGCCTCTAACTCTCACATGGACTCCACAACTGTATTTGAAATGGTCTCTTAGTGTCCATCCTGCCCCTATATCAGCCCACCCCTTCTGCAGTTAATACAGCATCCCACAGCTGGAATGACCTTTCTAATATGTAAATTGGATTGTGTTACTTATGTGCTCAAAACCTTCTACTGTTTCTCATCTCATTTAGAATAAAATGCAGACTCTCCATGATGGTCTCCATCTGTGCAATTGGCTGCTGGCTAACCCTCTGACTTCATCTGTCTCCTGCCACTCTGTCCCTTGATGGCTGTATTCCAGCCATGTTGGTTTTCTTCCTGTCCTTGAACAAGCCAGGCGTGTCCCTACCTCACAGCCTTTGGACTGCCATTCTCTCTTCCTGGAAGGCTTTTCCAGCAGATGTCCACACAGCCAGCTTTCTCACTTTGTTAAGGCCACTGCTTAAATATTGCCTTCTCAAAGACGACTTTCCTGGCCATTGTAACATGCTTTCCTGCTAAGCCTCTTTTACTTTTCTTCATAGCACTTATTGCTAACATTTATATTACACAACTCTTTTCTCATTCTGTCTATGCTCATGAGAGTACATGGTTCATAAAGATAAGAGATTTCTGTTTTATCCATTGTTCTGTGCCTAGCACCTGGTACATGTGAGCACTGAACATACTTTTGAGTGAATAAAATGATTTCCCCAAGTTCCTTTGCTCAGGCTTTTTTTTTTTTTTTTTTTGAGATGTAGTCTCACTCTGTTGCCCAGGCTGGAGTGCAGTGGCGCGATCTCGGCTTACTGCAAGCTCCACCTCCTGGGTTCACGCCATTCTCCTGCCTCAGCCTCCCGAGTAGCTGGGACTACAGGTGACCACCACCACGCCCGGCTAATTTTTTTTTGTATTTTTTAGTAGCGACAGGGTTTCGCCATGTTAGCCAGGATGGTCACAATCTCCTGACCTCGTGATCTGCCTGCCTCGGCTTTCCAAAGTGCTGGGATTACAGGCGTGAGCCACCGAGCCGGGCCTACTCAGGCTTTTTAGTACATCGAGGAGGTCACAGAGTTCTCCTGCATCCACCTCCTAAGTATGGAAGATGGCATTGGCGGCCCCTAATTCTTTACCCTTCCCTGTATCCGTGGCCTTTGCCATGTGACTTTGCTGTTTTCTTCACTGAAGGGAAAGCAAGTTTCTCTTCTCCTCGACTATGGATTTGGCCACATGACTTAGTTTAGATAATCAGATGTTAGTGGATGTGACAAGACCAAAGGCCTGGAAAGTGCTTGTGTGAGTGGCTTGTTCTCTCGTGTCTCTGCCAGAGAAAAACATGCCCATGCTAACTCCCTGGTCCCAGGAGGAAGACGAGAGGTGTACAAGAGAAACTTCGGCCCTTAGCTGACCCGCAGATTAGTGATAAAAATAGAATTGTTGTTTTAAGCAATTGAGTTTTGGAGCTATTTGTTAGATGGTGCTTTTTTTTTTTGTAGGAAGTAAAAGCAAAGCTTTTTTTCTTTTTTTCTTTTTTCTTTCTTAATGCCCTAGAAGACTATGAGAAAAGGAGGAGATACAGCAGGAGAGACGAGAGCTAAGCTTTGGCCCAGAGAGCAGAAGTGGGTTTCTAAAGGATGACGGATGGGACCAAGGGTTTAGGGCTCTTGCCTTGCTTCCCAGTCTGGGGCTCTGGGGAGAGGTTGCTGTGTAGGGGGTCGGTGGTGGTGGGGGGCGGTCCTGTACTAACATGGGGCAGCCAAGCCTCATGTAGAGAGGGAAGAAGAGTAAGCCGACAGGGTCTCTGGTCCTCACGTGCATCATCTCATTCTCGTGCAGCATGAAGCCTTAGATGAAAGCCCTCACTGCTTGATAGCTGACGACAACCTGCCATGGGGAGACGGAGGATGCGAAAGAGACTTAGGGCTTAGGGGTCTCTCAAGTGGGAGATTGAGGGCACAGCAAGTAAGCAAAGGGCAGGATGGCAGGTGCTCCCTGGGAACACTGCCTGAGTCAAAGAAAGGGACTCTAAGTTCATCAACCACAGATTTAAGCTCCAAGGCCAGAAGAGCACTCAGGGACACAGGACACTGGGCTGGAGGCCAGCAGATGCCTGGCCATGCAAACTCAAGGACCAGCATGCATCCAGGTCTCTCCCTGCCCACGGTATCATTAGAATGCTAAAGCTAGACATGTTGCTGCCTGTCTCCTTTTATATTCTGTACACCTGGTCCCCACCTTATAGAAAGAAGCAGAGGACGGGAAAGGCTCTTCGAGAAACTGAACATTTTTATTCATGAGGGACAGAGCACAACCAGGAAGGAATTTTGAAATGATTAAGTCAGAATCAGCTTTAAACCAGCCTGGATGTTTAGCTTATTTGCCTTTGCTACCCAGAAGGAATACGACATCATCAGACACAGATAAAGACATTGCATTTTCTCCACATATGTGAGCTGCTTTGTGCATTACAATGTGCAATTCTGTGATAACCATGGCAACCTCCAATTTGGTCTCCCTGCAGCTTCTCACTTCCTGTTATGCATTTTGCACTCTGCAGATGGTATTATCTGGCTAAAGTGTCAATCTGATCACGTTATTCTATGGATTAAAAAACATCCTTCCTTGACTTCCTTTAACCCCTAAGATAACATTAAAACCTTAACATGGCTTATAAATAGATCCGTAATATGGCAGATGCTGTCAGTGCCCGGCATTCACCTCAGTCCTGCTCCAGGAACCACTGACTGCGATTCGCTGTCATCTGCACTTTCCTCTGGCCTCAGCAGTGTGTTGGGTGTAAACACGGGACAAGCTGGAAGTGCTGGGGAGTTAGTACCGCAGGAAGCAGCCCTCATCACTGCAGGATGGGAGGAGGTGGCGAGATGCCCTGGCTTCCTCCTGCCTTGGTTGGGACACTCGGAGGCATGTCTCGCACTGTCTTCCAGAGTGTCCTGGTGGGATTATGTTCCAGGTGCCCACAGTGGTGAGTGGCTTGATAATGCTCCATCCCTTTCCCTGTTTCATGTCTCTACTTTCCTGCTTGTTTTATGGGATTGTCTCCCAGGTAAACTTCTTATATTCAAATCGAATTCTGCAGGGTTTCTCCTGGGAACACCCAAATAAGATAGGTGATCATACAACTGCGTAGTCCTATTTTTAGAGTAAAAGTGGGCACTGCTAATAATGTACTCTTGTCCTGGCAGGAGTAGCTTGGGTCTGTCCCAGGCAAAGCAGGACATGTGGCCCTGCTGGTAAAGCCGCCTTTGATCTGAACCCTGCTTATGCTGCAGCATTTTTATCACTTGCATCTTCACATCCGACTTTCCACCATTCTGAATGCAACTTGTGGTTCCTCAAATTTCTCTCATAGCACACTGTGTTTCCAAAGATGTCACAACCGTAACTCCCATGGCATGTTTCTTTGCAATGTGACCTGGCTACGATGCCACCAAGAGGTAGGGTCTGCTTCCTCTCTCTTGGAACATGGGCTGGAACCCAGATTTTGGTCAATAGCATATGGCAAGAATGGTGGCTCTTAGAGACCTTCAGCTTCTACATTTGCTGTTTGGAAAGCTCCTTCTTGGAGCCCAGCCACCATGCCATGAGGTAGCCCAAGCAGCCATGATTTGGAACCCTTGGGGGAGAACTCAGCCCCTGGCTCGTGGCCCCAAAGAGCTCCTGGGCAGCCAGCACTTGCTGCCAGCCACATGAATGAGGCTATTTCGGGCTATCCAGTCATTCTTACACCCTGCCTGGAGTCATGAAGCAGAACAACCACCCTGCCAATCCACAGAATTGCCAGAAATAATAAACTACTGTTTTGAGCCACACAGTTTTGGGTGGACTGCTGTGCAGAATGGAGAACTGACCTCCCCCGCCCTTATGGCCTCTACTTCAGCCCATTGCTTTACCCAGATCATTCTAACTCTTCATTAGGGTCCCAGCTTCTGTGTTACTTCCTCTAGTATGCCTTCCCTCACTCCTGGACTGGCTCAAGTGCCCTCCCTACTTGCTCCCAAAGAATTCTATACTTCTTTTCATTTATCCCACCCTCTTGTCTTTTTACTTCTAATTGACTTTCCATTACCTTCTTTTCCAGAAACTGAAGCTCTAAAGATGTGACCCAGTGCATATTGATACATTGTATGATCCCCTATCTTGCTTTGGGTTCTCCCAAGAGAAACCTCTGAGAACTGGATTTGAATATATAAAGTTTCCAAAGGCAGAAACTGTGCCTGTCTTGGACCCTAATGATGTTCCAGGGACTTATACAATGCCTGGCATCTGACATATGATGAGTATACATTTGCTGATTATGCAAAGTAAAAAACTAATATGTATTACACACATACTATGCAGCAGAGACTGTGCTAACCGCTAAACATGTATTATTTTGCTGAATCCCGTGACACAGAGACCATTACTATTCCTATTTTACACATGACAAAACAGATACACACAATGTTAAGTAACCCGACAAAGTCATACAATCGGCAAATGGTAGAGTAAGAGATTGTATTAGGCTGTTCTTGCACTGCTATAAAGAAACATCTGAGACTGGGTAATTTATAAGGAAAGAGGTTTAATTGGCTCACAGTTCTGCAGGCTTTATAGGAGGCACAGCACTGGCATCTGCTTCTGGGGAGGCCTCAGGAAGCTTATGATTATGGCAGAAGGTGAAGGTGGAGCAGGCAGGGTACATGGCAAAAGCAGGATCCAGAGGAAGAGTGTTGGGGGGAGGTGCTACATACTTAAACATCCAGGTTTTGTGTGAACTCAGAGTGAGAGCTCACTTATCACCAAGGAGATGGCCCAAGCCATTCATGAGGCTTCCACCACCATGATCCAAACACCTCCCACCAGGCCCCACCTCCAACACTGGGGATTACATTTCAACATGAGATTTTGGTGGGGACAAATATCCAAACTATATCAGAGATCAAACCCAAGGGTGCGAGAGCAAAGTCTGCCCTTAAGTCAGTCCTTATGCCTCAGTCAGGACAGGCCAAGGCTCTGCCACAGTAACAAACAGCCCTATAGTCTCGGTGGCTTAACAAAGCAAGGAGTTTTTTTTATCTCATGCTATATGTTCATCACAAGTCAAGAGTTTTCTGTTCACTGTAGTCACAGAGGGACCCAGGCTTACGGAAAAAATCACTGTCTTAGGCTTGTCAGTCACCATGCCAAAGGGATAAAAGGACTCTAGAGGGTCTTGCATGAGCACTTAAATGTTCTAGCCTGGAAATCACACAAATCTTTTCCATTCATAACTCTGGCCAGAAATATTCTGTGAGCAGCATGGTTATCACAGTATATGATTTCACCAACAAATGAAGATCTAAGTATGTCAGTTCCTTCTGTGTGAAGAGGCTTTGCCAAAGCTCCAGAAAGTTTTAGAAAGCCTTAGAATAAGACTTTTTAATCAATAAAAAGTCGTGTAGGATCATGATATTCACAATTTAGATTATAATAGAAATAATATAGGGGCTACTAGCCACTTCTATTGGAATTGCTTTGGATAATGGTAGTTTGGGAAATATGAGGATCTGAGACCAATATGACTTACAAACTCTAGTTAGTTCAAATGGATAGAAGTTCGCTTTATTTTTACCACCCCAGACATCGCCACTGACAACAGCAATGATCAGCCAAGCAACAACGACACTGCATTAGTATTCAGCTTCTTTCTAAGCACAGCTTCTCAAGTTTACACAGAGAAGCTACCGTCTTTTTATTTCAGAATAGATCTACTTCATTACGGTTTTATATTACTCTGATTTACAGCGATGGCAGAAATAGTTAATTTGAAAAACGATTAATTAAAGAGGGCTCAGAAATAAAATTAAAATGCATATTGCCACCTTGGAAACAGGTCGTGTATGTAATTACACAACTCACAGTGATGTGGTGATCGCTGTACATTGATATTCTTCTAAATTCATATCTATCATCATGCATCATAACAGTGTTTTATATCAAGGAACCCTAAATGTTATCCCCCTAGTTGCCAATGGAACAGGAGACCCTGCTCTACTATAATATTGCATTTTCACCTTTTTAATTAAGAAAATTACTCCCACCACAAATCTTAAAGTTTCAAAGTTTATTTAGGCTATATCTAATCTGGTTTTACTCAATCCAGACAACTCCTTAATATACAGGGCACATTTCCGTTTAGCCTTTGTTGAATATTCTCAATAATAGAGAGTTCATTACCTCAAAGTAGAGACCACTCACTTTTGAAAAGCTCTAATTGTTAGGAAGTTCTTTCTTATATGGAGCTGAGATTTTCCTCTTCATATCTTCTGCTTTTGGTCCATGTCAGTCTTGCTGAGTAAGCCTCAACTAAGTCTAATCCACCCTGCATGTGGCAGTTACCAAAGACTGAAAATTGATTCTCTCGTCTCTCAAATCATATTTTTTTCTGATCAGACATTCCCAGGTCTTCTGACATTTCCTTTACGGGTCTTGTGTTTATCTGGTTTTCTCCTCAGATGACTAATACCCTCGCTCTGGACATGATTCTCATACTAGTGTGGCTCAGAATCACATTCATTTAAGAATCCATCACCATGTAACATTGCTTGTACCAGACTTTCCATCAAACCAATTTCCTAAGTTTTTTCATGATGCTGGGGGTCTCCCATCTTCTATTTAGGTGATTGTATATATTTTTTTTATCTAAGTGCTGCAATTAAGTTTATTTCTATTACATTTCATCTTATTATTTTTATCCCATCTTTCTAGCCTGTCAAGATGGTTTTGAAATGCTTTTTATAATCCATCATATTAAACCATCCCTCTCAGCTTCGTGACATTTGCAAACTTAATAAACATGCTACTTGTGTCTTTCTCCAAGGCATTAATAGAGATGTTGAAAAGGACATGAGCAAACAGAACACCCCACTTTCGGCTTCAAGTTATATTTCTCTTCCTTGAAGATTTCTTGAGAGACCATTAAATTTGTTGCTGAAAGATAAAGTCTATGACATCACTCGGCTGGTAAAAGATGGATGGATATGAGGGATGAAAGATGGACATAACTATGTCTAGTGAGATTTCTCCTTTGTGAACCTTTGCTGATTGCTAGTGATTCTGAATTCCTTCTAGAAGCATTCAGAATTATGTAAGAATCCGTTCTAAAAGTTTGCTGTTGGTTGGCAGTGATCACACTACTATTTCTTGAATATATATCCTCCATCCCCTTTATAAAGATCACACTTGTCCTTGATTAGGTAGCCTTTCTTTCATCCTTTTTCTGTGTCCCTTTTTGAGGAGTGCTCATCAAAGAGCTCAGTGTGAAGTCATTTTAGGTATTTAGAGCCATCTTCTTCTCTTTCTTTTATAGAATCAGTTTCTGAGTAGCAGAAACTGATCCTATAAAAGTAAAGCAACAACTTTGGAGCATGAAACTCCAGGGGGTTTCAAAACCTGGCCGGAGTACATATCAGTTGCAAGTTCAATACTGTATGTCTGTACAGATGGATTTTTACACAACTGGGGAATGCAAATGGGTTGTCTCTCACTGAAGTATATGTTGTTTTCAAAGAGACATTTAAGCATATTCCTGCCCCTGTGAAATGATCAAATATCAAAGGAGTATTGGCTTGAAGGGGTGGCCAGTGATTAGCTTCTCAAGCACTTACATGTCTTCTTGGGGTCTTCACTGAGACTCCTTCAATTTTATTAACAGAATTTTAGCTTCAGAGTAGCAAGAACCTCGTCCTTGCTTCCTCACCATTCTGGAAGGTGCAGGTGTCATCAGGAAGCAAAGCATAGGTCTTAGGTCACAAATCACGCTTTTCAAATCTCAGCGTCACCGCTGACTCGCTGAGTAGCTTGAAGCCTGTGGTTTTCAACTGGGGTGGTAATTTTTCCCTCCTGGGGAACATTTAGCAATGTTAGAAGACATTTTTGGTTGTCACAACTTGGGGTGCTACTTATATCTAGTGGGTAAAGGCCAGGGAGAATGCTAAACATTCTGCAATGAACAAGACAGCCCCATAATAAAGAATTTTCTGATCCAAAATGTCAATAGTTCTGCTGTTGGGAAACCCCACTTTAAGAAGAAAACTTAATAGTTTTGAGCCTTAGCTCCTTATTCTATACAACGAGGGTAACAATGGTCTGTGGTGTTGTGAGAAACGCAGACAGTATTGTACTTACAGCATATAGCATAATAACCGGCATGTAGCTAGCATCAAAAATGGTAATTATTTATGTATTAGGCATTGTGTTGTGTATGTCTTAAGACGTTATTAGCTTAATATTAAAAGAGTAGTTCATTTACTCCACAAGTATTTTTTGAGCCCTTTCTGTATACTAGGCACTGATCAGCCTGCTGTAAATAGATTAGTTTCAAAAAAAGTCTCTGCCTTCTGCCCTCAGGGAGTTAACAACCTGCAAGTAGGCATTTGTGTTCCCCATTTTGCAAAGGAGAGAACCTAGGCTCTGAGAGGTTCAACTAAGAAAGCAACATGGTCAAGATTTCAATGCTAACAGAGGTAGAACTGGATTCCAGTCTAACAAGCTCTGCCTGATTCCGAAGTCCACATTCTTTCTACTTCATGATCGTCAGATGCCTACTTTTAGGCTGTGAGATATGTGAGGATTGCAGCTCTCACCTCTGTGCGAATCTTACTGATTCTGTTAGGATGATCATCCATACCCTTTCACCCTGCAGTATACGTCTACAATGATATCTTTCTGTTTCCTTCCCCTTTTACTCTTTATTAATTCAACAAATATTTATTGAGCACTTGCTCCTTGTTAGTATATGGTGGAACTATGAGATGCTTTCTTGGTCTGCAGGGAGGTCACAGGCTTGTAGGGATGAGAGATAATCTCCACTAGAAGTCAGTGCACCAAGGACCCATTGCTGGAGCCCTAACTACTCTCACCTGCATAACACCATTTCCATCTTGGAATTGTGGACCTCCTTACAGGTATTTATGTGTACTTTCTGTAACTCACTGCCACATGCACAGTTACCTAGTTTGTGTATGCAGCAACATTTTTCTTGGGTGTACAAAAAATACAGGGTGTAACCTTCATGTATCTGAGGCTCATGGTACACTTTTAGCTTTGCACAGATTGATGTCAAGGTACATTCTTAGTTGTAGAAAATGTGGCCTTTATGATGTTATTTGTTCACGACCTTGAAGGTCCATGCCATACAGTATATTGGAATTGTGCTGAAATGTGAACTAGTTACATGACCTGGAAAACAGAGGAACCAGAGAATATTACTCATAGTGACAGAACCTAGAAATCATCCAACATTCCCATCAAAATTTGACTTTGCAGGTTCCACAAAGTAATAAAAAGTCTATTATTTTCGGGTATGTTTATAGTTGATGTTACTTTACGAATATCATAGTGTAGTATCTTTAGGAACATCACCATATCATAGTGTAGCGTTTGTTTTGATGGAATCATATGGTTCTGAAGGAGCACTTAACATTTTAAAGTATTCTCAACTGAACCGTGGGAGTACCTCTGGTAGAAAGCGGGTACTCACCAAAGTCTCAGATCCATGACTCATGAATGCCAAGGCCCTACTCCACTAAACAGCCACTTTTTGTTGCTAACTGATGGCATCGCTCAACTTTCAAATACATCCCTCTTCTGGAGCTTCACCATGAATGACAAGATTGTTTGACCCACTTAAGAGTCTGGACTGTCTTCAGAGAGACCTCGCTTCCAAACTCTGCTTTGCCAGTATTAGTTGAGTAACTTTTGTCAAATTGACCTTCTTCTGCTTCAGTTTTCTCATCTGCAAAATGAGGTTCATAATCAGGGATCTCATTTCATTGGATTGTTGTGACGTTTGTTTCTTATATTTACACGTGTAACATGTGATGTCACAAAGTCTCTTCTTGTTCACAGAACATAAAAGTGGTGATAAGATCTGTAAAAATACATCAACTATAGAAAGTGTTGGAGAAAATTCAGATAAGGACATCAGGGTGAGGTAATCCAAAGCTAGATTTGAGACTGTGCCTGAGTGCTGTTTTCAGGATGCAAAGGATTAAGCAGAAGCTATTTAATTATCTTTCATATCGTACAATATCTAAGGCTCAGTGATCAATACATGTTAGCCCTCTTTTGTTTTCCAGTTCCACCCTTTGATTTATCACTTGCCACTCCCCACTGTCTTGTTCACCAGGTGTGTGGTCTTGGGCTTCATGCACACACCTGCTTTCCCCCTCTCTTCTGGATGCCTCCCTCTCCAGCCGGACTGGTGTGTTCCTGGTTCTAAACCCAGGAATCCTTTTTGTTCTTGACCACTTCCTGGCACAAGATATAGGCTTTATCCCTTACCTGGACAGCCTCAGCATTTATCACCTGCCCAATCTTTCCTCTCTGTCTTTCTCTTTGCATTCTAGATTAACTGCCACAGGGATTACAGCACAGTAAAGAGCTCCCTTGGTGTCTGATTGCCTGAGTTCAAATTTTGGTTCTGCCACTGATTAGCCAGGTGGCCCGGTTATTTAATCTCTTCATGGTTCAGTTTTCTCATCTAAAAAGTGGAGATCATAATCTTAACTACCTCATACAATTGTGACGAAGATTGAATGGGCTAATATCTGTCAAGTGCTTAAACTGGAGCCTGGCCTACAGTAAATCTTACATAAGTGCACATTATTATTATTATTATTATTATTAAGACAGAGTCTCCCTCTGTCGCCCAGGCTGGGGTGCAGTGGCGTGATCTCGGCTCACTGTAAGCTCCGCCTCCCGGGTTCACGCCATTCTCCTGCCTCAGCCTCCCAAGTAGCTGGGACTACAGACGCCCACCACCACGCCCGTCTAATTTTTTTAAATTTTTTTGTAGAGACGGGGTTTCACCGTGTTAGCCAGGATGGTCTTGATCTCCTGACCTCGTGATCTGCCTGCCTCAGCCTCCCAAAGTGCTGGGATTACAGACATGAGCCGCCACGCCCAGTCTATTATTTTTATTATAGGTTCAGTCTCCTACTCACTCCTCATTTTGTGACCCCTGCCGCATGTTTTTAAGTGAGCATTTTTACCATTAATGCTATTCTGATCACTTCTACACACTGGCCGCCGAGTGACCTCCCTCCCACCTGTACATCACCACCATCTTACTGTTTTCATTGCAGTTCACAGTACACAGCCTCATATGAACAAAATTCATTGGCTTCACATTAAATATTTTAAAATACTTCACCAATCATATCGATATTTTAAAAATTTAGGGTGTAATCTTCACATATCTGTGGCTCATGGTACATTTTTTAGCTTTGCACAGTGCTAATCTCCTCTGGTGAAGAGAGGGACAAGGAGACTCTGGAATTCACAGTCGCACATGGGGAAGGGTGTTCTGTCACACTGTCAAATTCCTTATTGGCCTTCTTATCTGCAAATAATATCAAGGTGCTTTCTTACGAGTGAGAGGAAGATAGAATCATGTTGATATGCTTTGACAAAGGAAACGTTAAATTACATATTGCTAGTAGGTAGAGGTCTGTAATAGACCAAATTCTACATAGAGAAGCCTGGAGCAGATTTGCCTTCGCTTGGGTTGTAGTTTATGCCACGCACCAAACAACGTTTGTTCCATTACCATCGCTGACTTAGAAGCCCCCATTACCAATCACAATGTGTTTTTTGTTTGTTTGGTTGTTTTTTTTTTTTTTTTTTGAGACAGAGTCTCGCTCTGCCACCCAGGCTGGAGTGTGGTGGCACGATCTTGGCTCACTGCAACCTCCACCTCCGGGGTTCAAGCAATTCTCCTGCCTCAGCCTCCCGAGTAGCTGGGATTACAGGCACCTGCCACCATGCATGGCTAATTTTTGTATTTTTAGTAGAGACGGGGTTTTGCCATGTTGGCCAGGCTGGTCTCGAACTCCTGACCTCAAGTGATCCACCAGCCTTAGCCTCCCAAAGTGCTGGGATTACAGGCGTGACCCACCATGCCCAGCCTAATCACAATGTATTTCAAAGGCGAATTAGCTTTAGAATGAGTTACATGAGCAATTTCCCCCAAAGATAATTTGTTGACGCTTTGCTTGTGCAACACCGAGAACAACCACGTAACTTTCCTGTACAGAGAAGATATTCGTGACTGGCCCCAGTAAGAGAAATTTACCTGATAGTTTTAAAATCCAAACTCACATTACCCAAATGTATTTGTAGCACGCATTTATACCTAACGAACCACATTCTTACCTATAACTTTTCCCAGAAAGAGCGACTTGGGAGAATTGAAGAGGGTGTCGGATGAACTTGGCAGATGGTAACTCACAGAAGGATAATGATCGAGCTGCAGGAGGAAAACAAGAGACACTTTTAGAAGCACGTCTCTACCCTGTGTGGAACCAAATCTTCCCTGTGGGGATGACATCACTCTTTGAACCCTGGTTTTCTGATATCTTATTTCATCAGCACTGACTCTAAAACACCACCCCGAGAAAATGGAAACCCATGTCTTCCTTTGCTGGGGTTCTTTGAAAAAATCTGAGGATGGTAAGTGAAGATCCTTTATGAACGGCTCTCCAGGTGATGTACATTTTCTGTGGATGATTTACCTACAGGATTAAGATCCATGTTCTTTTTAATGGAGTAACATCTGCTTGATCCAATCTCCAGTGTCAGCCTCTGATAGGGAATATGCCACATCTACAGCAATGAAGTTTTGCGGAAACATTTTATTTTGTGACATGATCACACACACACACATACACACACACACACTCAAATGCTGAGGGTCAAGTGGGGTAAACAGTTGTAGTTTTCTCGGTTATCCCAATGAGAATGATTTCTCCTGCCACAGGCAGGGGTGGTTGGGCGAGTTGGCAGCAGAGGGAGAGAAATGAAGCTGTTGGGAACGGTGCACAGACAGTAACCACGGAAGCGACGCACGTTTCTGATCCTGTTGCCCGTGGACAAAGTGCCAATGGTGGTGTCAGAATCACTGGCCTTGCCCTTTGTGTCCCTGTGTGGCTTTTCCTGCCTTATCTTCTCAGCTGTCTTTTTACCACCTATACAGTCTAGATGTGTTTCTCCAACTGTGAGCTCTTAGAGCTTTCTGGGCCTTTTTTGGGCCCCCCACCCCGGTGGAAAACATTCTTTTGTAAGCATTCATTTTTCTGAAGTGAGTTTAATACGTGCTAAGGTCAGCATGACGAGAGGTGCGGGTTATAAGAAAGCACAGCATTGCTTTCCGACATGGGCATTCCCATGGGGGCCACGTCAATTGTGTAGAGGAAGGAGACAGAACAAGCAGCAACTTGTTGAAGGCAGCAGCACAGACTCAGAAGCAGATACGATCCAGAGTCCTTGCTCAAACTGGGCCTGATTAGGCAAAAAACTGTCCTTCAGATGAGCAAAGATGCTGGAAGCTAGCTGTGCTCTTGGGAGGAAGGAGAGAGTGGCAGTGAAGAAAGAGGGCAGGCAAGTGATCAAATGGCATCACCACATCATACTACGATGAATAGTCATTCATTATTAATGACTGTCTGCAGCAGAATCTTGAAACTGCTTCCTAGAAACTTAGAGATCATTGCACAGTCACGGTTAAGAGTCAAAGGGTCCTCACATCTCAAGAACATTTTAGATTTTTGACCCACAGAACTGGTACAGTAGGTTTTTGTGCATGAGTAGTATTGCCACAAAAATCCAAAAGCACCCCACCCCCAAAAACTATTAAAGTAAACATTTGCATGCTTGGCTATCATTTTGAAAAGTTTTCTATAACGTCAAATGCATCATTAACAAAACAAACCAGGTGTGGTGGCTCATGCCTGTAATCCCAGCATTTTGGGAGGCTGAAGCTTGTGGATCTCTCGAGTCCAGGAGTACAAGACCAGCCTGGGCAATATAGTGAGACCATTATCTCTATAAAAATTTTAAAAAGTAGCTGGGTGTGGTGGTGTGCACCGGTAGTCACAGCTACTCGAGAGGCTGAGGTGGGAGGATAGCTTGAGGCCAGGAGGTCAAGCCTGCAGTGAGCTGTGGTCATGCCACTGTGCTCCAGCCTAGGTGACAGAGTGAGACCCTGTCTGGAAGCAAACAAACAAACAAAAACACTTATTCCGTTCAGATAATCTTAAATATTTAAAATCTCATATATATGTTTCTTTGGAGCAAAAGCTCTTCAGTTTCTGCTCTTAAATATTAGCTAGCTGCTTTGCTGCCATCTAATGACACCCATGGGTAACTGCCACCGCACTTCTGTTTACTTACTCTCTTTTGTTAAATGGTTAAATGCAAAATGCCATTGTTAACCAATAGCCTACCTGGCAATGCCTTAGGAGGTGATAATCTCCACCTCATACTTCTTACAATTTAAAAACTAAATTTGTGATCAGGGCAGTGGCTTACGCCTGTAATCCCAACACTTTGGGAGGCCGAGGTGGGTGGATCATGAGATCAAGAGATCGAGACCATCCTGGCCAACATGATGAAACCCTGTCTCTACTAAAAATACAAAAAGTAGCTGGGTGTGGTGGCACTCCCCTATAGTCCCAGCTACTCAGGAGATTGTAGCATGGGAATGGCTTGAACCTGGGAGGTGGAGGTTCCAGTGAGCCGAGATCGCGCCACTGCACTCCAGCCTGGTGACAGCAAGATTCCATCTCAGAACAAAAAAAACAAAACAAAAAACTAAATTTGTAACAAAGTTCTATTTTCTTAAAGAATTTTAAAAATGGATACAAATAATATATGTTCATTATAGAAAAACACAGATTTGCCGGAAAAAAAGTTGCCTGCTAATAATAAATGTTAATTTCTAATGTATTTTCTTTCAACTTTTTAAATAAAAAAGGGATGGAACCCAAGTAACACATTGTTTTGTATATTTTTTAACTTGATGATATATTATGAATGTCGCTCTGTGTCGATAAAAATACAACAAAATTCTATTTTCTTAGCTTTAAAAATGGATACAAGTAATATACGTTCGTTATAGAAAAAATGATATAGATTTGCAGAAAAAAACTGCCAGCTGATAGTCAATGTTAACTTTTAATGTATATTCTTTCAACTTTTTAAGTAAAAAGGGATGGAACCCAACTAACACATATTATGTTTTGTATATTTTTTAACTTGACGATATATTATGAATGTCTTCTGTCTCAATAAATATACAACAAAAATCATTTGTCATGGATGACTAGTATTTCGTTCTATGGATACATAGTACACAGTTTTAAAGATTAAATTTCCATGTTTAGGTTTTTACATTTCTGTGTCCTCAGGCCCAATACAGCCCAATACAATACATGGTGGGATCTTGATAATTGACATTAACAGTTGTTAATGCAACTTTTAAAGTCGCGAGCACCGAAGGGAAATCCGTCCTCAGGTTTGGCATGACCCACACAGTGGAGGTACCTTCCTTTTCCTGAATTGTTTCTGCAGATCCAGACTAGACGGCCTTGGCTTTTTGGCAGCCATTTTATATTATTTTTGCTGAGCTACAGTAAAATAAAATTCCTAGTTGATCTCTATAAGTGTATTCCCTTCCTATGTCTGCGTGGTTGATGGCTTTAACCAAAAATGCTAAATTTTACATTTATTTATATAAACTTTTCTTTCTTTCTTTTTTTTTTTTTTGGGACTGAGTCTCGCTCTGTCGCCCAGGCTGGAGTGCAGAGGCACCATCTCGGTTCACTGCAAGCTCCGCCTCCCGGGTTCACGCCATTCTCCTGCCTCAGCCTCCCTAGTAGCTGGGACTCCAGGCGCCCGCCACCACGCCCGGCTAATTTTTGTATTTTTAGTAGAGACGGGGTTTCACTATGTTGGCCAGGATGGTCTCGAACTCTTGACCTTGTGTTCCGCCCACCTCGGCCTCCCAAAGTGCTGGGATTACAGGCGTGAGCCACCGCACCCGGCCACTTTTATATATTTTGTTTTGAAACACAGTAATAGCCTCTACTCAGAGGTTTTTGATTGTTGATTGTGTCATCTTGCTTCTCGGTGATCCTGCTCGGTTTTGACTTTTCTAAAAAACATAATGAACACTCCTAGCCTTAACTCATTGATGAAGTCATTAATTTCAAAACAGTGAACAGGAACCTAAATGGGTCATGCTGTACAGTTCTAATCCAAATTACCTGCTCAGTTAGGAAAATATGAGAAGTGACGAGGATATCCAGAAAGCCTTCAACATTCACAAAGGTGAAGCTGCAGTGCCTGAGGAAATTCTCAAAGGAGGGAAGGAGGAAAGCGTTCTCCGATCAGTCTCTGATCTTACCACGAGCAAGGCGTCCTTACGTCTTCTCTCTCGCATACTCCTGCCTGCCTTGTGTCTAAGAAGGCGGGCTGTGGCCGGAAGGGATGAGTGGGATTGTGGGGAAGGTGGGTTAAAGCAAGAGGACCCCAAAGGAAAAGCAGCTCTGCAGCTGACGGCGGATGCTTTGCCGAGTGTTACCACCAGGTGGTGCTGTCCCCCTGCCGAACATAATTCAGAACAGCAGCATCGGATCAGGGCTCTCCAGGACCTGACCATGTGACACGAGACCATTCTGCAATTTTGTCTGAATATGGAGATATGGTGGGCGGAATCATGCCTCCCAAAGATAACATCCTAATTCTCAGGACCTGAGAGCGCGTCACCTTCCTTGGCAAGAGGGGCTTTACAGATGTGATTAAGATAATAGGGGAATTCTCCTGGATTCCCTGGGTGGGTCTCAGGTCCCCACCAGGGTCTTTATAGGAGGGAGGCAAGAGGGTCGCAGTGGAGAGAAGATGTGACAACGGAAGCAGAAGTTAGAGTGACGTGAGGAAGGGCCCAAGGAACGCAGGAGACTCTTAGAAGCTGAGAAAGGCAAGGAAACAGATTCTCCTCTCAGAGCCTGCGGAAGGCACCAGCCTTTCTGATTGACTTCAGCCGTTTGCGCTGACTTTGCACTTCTGGCCTCTGGAACTGTGAGATAGTAAATGCATGTTGTTTTAAGTCCTTAAGTTTGTGGCAATTTGTTACAGCAACACTGGGAAACTAATACAAGAAATTAAAAAATAACAGACCTTGTACAACCCAAAACCAAAACATCTCTTTCTCCCGGCAATTTCTTCAATAACAACGTTAGTGTTCTCCATTCTTCCTGCCTCCCAGATGAAATGCATTAAGAGGCCCAATAACTGAATTAGCCCTGCTTTTCTGAGAGCACCCAGTTGATTAGAGACACCTGCTTCCTTGAACCCTCCCCACCATAAGCCTGATTCCTAAAATAAGCCCTTCCTGACTCTTAGAGCCACCCCGTCATTCTCTAAGGTATATGGGTCCCTTTGCGTCAATTATCAATCAACTCGTTGCTTCCTGGCTCCCAATGCACCCTTCAATATAAGCTCTATGATAAACAATGGAATTCCTTAAAGATTTTGCTTTTAAGGTGAGCACAATGTCAAGCTTTCTCAGTAGCGTGCTCTGGAGGGACACTGCAAGAGGAAGGGGCTTACTGCAATTTCCAGCACAGGCTCGAGGAGGGGGATAGCAGAGGCTCTGCCCAGAGTGCGAGGACATGAGGTGAAGCCTGTCTGAGTCGCAGGCCTTTTAAGAGAACCCTCTGTGACCCTAGCGTCTCAGCCATGGCAACCTGCCCACAGACCTCTGGACGTGTGTCTGAACCGCCCTGGTAGCCCCTCACTCTCACCCCCACCGCCATTGCTATTGCCTGCTCCCCCACCTGCACTCCAGAGGGCAGCCAGCCTGTCGCTCCCCCAGCAATTCCGGACCAGCTCCAGCTTGGCTAAGCAGGGGTCTCTGCTCTCTGCCAGGCAGACACACCTTCTCCAGCAAGGTCCTGAAGGGCTTCAGAACACGCCACCTCCAGATATGCTGGCTTGAGATGGGGACAATTTTGAGCTAAAGGCACTTGAAAAACAACAGATGCGTTGGGCGTGGTGGCTCACGCCTATAATCCCAGCACTTTGGGGGGCAAAGTGGGCGGATCACCTGTGGTCAGGAGTTCGAGACCAGCCTGGCCAACATGGTGAAACCCCATCTCTACTAAAAGACAAAAATTAGCCGGGCATGGTGGTGCACGCCTGTGGTCCCAGCTACTTGAGAGGCTGAAGCAGGAGACTCGCTTGAACCCGGGAGGCAGAGGTTGCAGTGAGCCGAGATGGTGCCACTGCACTCCAGCCTGGGTGAGAGTGAGACTCCATCTCAAAGAAAAAAAGAAAAACAACAGATGCACAAAGGACACTCTGACCTCCCCTTTTCTTCCTGAAAGCAGGAGATGAAACTTTCATATGGAAGATGGCTTCTCTCTACCAGGAAGAAAAGAACATTCTTCTCTCCAGAGGCGGGGAGTTGAGGCCGAGGGAAATCGGTACAAACAAAAAGTGTTTTGACAGTTAAAAAGCTCTTGTTAAAATAACCCTTGTCTTTAGTATCTCCATATAGTTAGTTACTTTTTCAAAATTACTACTTTTTGTTCACCCTGTTGCATAAGCACTTAGGCCTGGCTGCTTTTGGATCTTGGTGTCCTGTGAAGGCCCTCACATGCCTGTAAACATTGGCTTGCGTTTCCTCTGTTAGTCTCTCCTACGTCAACTTAACTCTCAGGCCCAGCTGGAGACTGTCAGAGGAGACAGGGGCAGCTTTGCCTCCATTACGGTCAGACACCCACCGAGGTTGTCCCTGGATGGGCTCCCTCAGCCCTAGGGGGCCACTAGGAAACTGCACGGATTTCCTTACATCTTGGAGTTGCTGTTTGCCATAGTTAATGCTTCTATTTATCACCCCATTTTAACCGACTGTGGTTTCCAGCTCCCGTTTGACTCAAACTGCTAAGCCCTCACTGCAACAAGGGATAAACCCAACTTTGTCCAACTGCAGATATAGTTCTGGTCTTGGCTGGTGGGATTCAATAGTAGGAAAAAGGAGGAAGCACATATTGAGCAACTGCTGTGTACAAGGCTTTGTGCTGATCTTTTAATATGTATTGTCTTATTGAATAGATATTAGATAGGTATGATCTCGTATCTTTGATATTATAAAGTGTCCAGTCACAGAGTAAGTACCAAGGCTGGCACTCTGACTCCAGAGACAAAACGGTGAGCTGCAGGCCACAGTCTCTTGAACTAGCCCAGTCACCTCAATTAGGAGAGGGAGAGGATCAGCTACATTTTAAATATTTACATTTAAAAGAGAAAATACTTTAAATCAGATATAGCGAGAAAAGCTTAACATGAAAAGCCTAAGGAAATGACATATTATATGATTTCACTCGTATTGCCAGGTGGCCACCTCTTTTCAAATGAACCCTGGTGCATTTGCCACGGTTAAGTGTAATAATTTCAAGGTAATTTCTTTGGGGTCCAAGTGAGCTCTTTTGTAGAAATGTATTTTGCTGTACATTTAGCTGGTGGTCATTTCACTGGCAGTTAAGAGGCGATAAGAGATTGTGTAATAGAGGCTCATTAAAATTAAAGACTGTGACTCCATGTACCCCAGGACAACCTTGAGTGAACACTAACTTGTTCAACATTTGCCATGAAGCCATTAGAAGCATACTGATTTAGGCAGGACCTTGTGTCTTACACGTGGAGCTTAAAGCTTTAACGTCTATTCAGGTATTATTTTGCAATATCCATTCATTTCCATTTTTAAGCCACAGTTTGCGTTGGCAGAGTTTGAAGGGATTTCATCAGCCGTTTACGCTTTGGGGATGCAGTGGAGAAGCTAAAGAAGAAATACCTAAATGGCGTGGGTTCTCCTGGACCGGTGGAGGGGCCGGGCCCCATCTCCTGAGATGAAGGACACAATTTCAAGGCAGATCCCGCTTTTTCCATGGCCTAGACAAAGGCCTAGGATTTCTTGCTGTTTTTCCTAATCGTTAATTTTAGGGAATACTTGGAATTAGCTCAGCGATATTGAATTTAGAATATATCATCTTTTTTCTTCAAAATATCATTTTATTCCCAATAAAGTGATTATGGAGAGATTGGCTTTAGGTGTATGACTAAGGAGTTTCTTTTTTTTTTTTTTGAGGCAGGGTCTTATTCTGTCATCCAGGCTAGAGTGCAGTGGCGCAGTCACAGCTCACTGCAGACTCCACTTCTCAGGCTCAAGTGATCCTTCCACCTTAGCCTACCGAGTAGCTGGGACCACAGGTGCATACCACCATGCCTGGCTTTTTTTTTTTTTTTTTTTTTTTTTTTTTTAAGACGGAGTTTTGCTTTTGTTGCCCAAGCTGAAGTGCAGTGGTGTGATCTTGGCTCACTGCAACCTCTGCCTCCCAAGTTCTGGTTCAAGCAGTTCTGCTGCAGTCTCCCAAGTAGCTGGGATTACAGGCACATGCCACCATGCCCAGCTAATTTTTGTATTTTTAGTAGAGATGGGGTTTCACCATGTTGGCCAGGCTGGTCTTGAACTCCTGACCTCGTGATCTGCCTGCCTCAGCCTCCCAAAGTGCTGGGATTACAGGTGTGAGCCACCGTGCCTGGCTGCCTGGCTAATTTTTAAAATTATTTTTAGGAGAGATGGGGTCTCACTATGTTGTCCAGGCTTGTCTCAAATTCCTGGGCTCAAGTGATCCTCCCACCTCAACCTCCCAACATGCTGGGATTGTAGGCCACCACGCCCAGCCTAGAGCATATCATCTGATGAATGTTTTATTTACTCCAAGTTGAAGCCCAAGGCTGAAGATAAGAAGAGGCTGATGCAGATAGACTTCAGGTAGGAGAAACAATTATCAGCTCAACTCGCACCCCTTATCTGTGTCTACCCGTCCTTCTAAACTAGAAATTCCCACAGACTTCAAAGAAGAGAGGGTTTGAAGAGTGGAGACCATCTCTTTCTCCCCATCGGAATCTCCATTCTATGAAGGGTATACACAAGCCTAGGGCCATTTGCAATTGAAAATACGAACAAGCAGGCCTTGACCCCAGTATCAAGGATACGTTCATCTAAATGTTTTCTGCCCCTTCCTAACCCTAGAATCACTTTGTTCCTGATAATGGAGAGGACATGGAGCAAATGTAGATGTGTGGGAGATAAAGAAGTAGGATTAGGTGTGACTCTCCTGCTAGTCCAGGGTTGCAGCTCTGTTCCTGATCCTCCCTTGGTGAGACCGTAACCCTGTGGGTTCAAGGACGCTGCCTCAGTTACCACTCCTGCCCCAGGAGCGTGGCATAACACACGCTTGTTAAACACTGATCAGTGGGCTCAGCAGGTGCAGTGGAAATCCACCTGGTTGTCAGAGCTCCGTGGCTAACACCTCACCTCTGGACTTTCGGCTATTTCTTTCTCTGTAGTGTTATCTAATAAACCTTCCAGTTAATTTACGATCCACATGAAAAGGGCCTGTGATATGCAAGGTGCTCATTTAACATGTGTTAAATGGGTCAGCACTGGCTGAGCCATGTTCGTGTATGTATCTGTATGTAAATCTGTCTGTGTGTGTGTGTGTGTGTGTGTGTTTAAGGTGTGGATTCCTAGCTTTTACTTCCATTAGAACTTCTGTTTGTAGAGGGAGGAATCTCTGTGAATGACTCAGTGGACTGAAGCCCTCATAGCATTTTATTGACATCGAGTTTGAGTGAGTGAGCTTGGCTCCATCCTCCCAGACCACATCGATGGGGAGACTGGCTGATCGTGAATCTGGGACTCCGAATTTTCATGCAAGAGACACTTGCCCCTGCTCTGCTCTGAGAGTCTTGATTTCAGTGCAACTTGTTTTTGGGACCACATTGCTGAGAGCCACAAGCCCATCAGGGTGAGGGTCAGCAGGCCAGCCCCCTCCCAACCTACATTGCCAAGCCCTGCGGCCATCCCTCCAATCCCAAGAACAGCCATGGGTGCAGATGAGAGGACACCATTTGGGAGGCTGACCCATTTAGAGGTCACGTTGTCTACCTTAATTTGTTTTTGGTTGAGCTACTCATAAATCCTGCCGACTTATAGAGATACTCAAGAAGAAGAAAGAGGCCAAGAAACACTCTCCCCTAACAGAACTCTGGAATAAACGAGCAACAGCCATGCTTTTGTCACTGGGTTAGCGATGCATGCCGGTCCTGGAGGTGCCTGGTGTGTTTCACGGCGGATGCCTTTACGAAGGGAAAGTTAACCGAATCCTGCAGGTAACTGCAGATGGATAAGTCAGGGAGCCTTTGCCTCTTTGGGAGAGATTAAATGGCCCTGGGGAGATCAGAGGGGTAGGGGGCATCTTCGTAGAATGGAGAGGCGAGAATGCAGTGCCCTCGCCTAGACCTTGCCCCTGTGCTGTGACCTGACTCTCACACCTGGGGAGGCACTGTGCACTCCCAGGTGTGCTCAGGGCTTTAGACCAGCTGTATCTTTTGCCCAGAATGCTCTTCTGCTGTCCTTTCACCAAATACAATAATCAATTTGTGCTTCTTCTGGGAATTATTCTCTAAACCACTCACTTTATTACCAGTCCCCAGCTGGGCTCAACCACGTTGGAGGACTTTGACTTAATTAATTAATTAACTAATGTATTAATTAATTGTTGGCAAGGCCAGAGGTGGCCTAGCCTAGGGCCAAAGCAGACAGATTTGTCTCCTGAGCCCCCTTTACCTAAGCCTACGCCTGGGTCTGGGGGCTCTCCGGTCCAAGAGCAAGAAAGAAAAACTGGCTGCAAAACTAGAAGAGATCCAGGTGAATCCACTGTGCCTAAGCCTTTCTAGGACAGAAAATCCCCTGCGCATGGGAGCTGGGGCTCTCTCCAAACCCGAATCACCTGACTGTGAGAAGGCAAAAAGAGAAAAGTGGCTGGTTTCAGTATGTGTTTCCTCTTCTCGGTAAGGCACTGTCCTCTATGGAAGGTCATTCAGGGACCCCTTGCAAACCAGCTTCTAGACTTCCAGTGTAAGAGAGGAGAGGTGGCCTGGGGGGATGAGAATGGGGCCAGGAGATGGGCCCTGGCTCTGCCACGTGTTAAATGGATGTTTATCAAGTTAGGAAGCCTTCTTGGACTTCAGTTTCCTCATTTGTAAAGTGAGGAGGTTGAACCAGTTCTGTGAGGTTTCTTTGAAGATGTTCTGCTACCATGGCCCTAAGGAATAGTATTTTCCCATGTCTCTGGGGGCTTTGAGCAGAATCATCTGTGAAGATACAACTCTAGGGTACCACTTGAAGGTGTCTTTTCAGGGCACTATTCAACTTCGACCGGTTTTGGTGATGGATGGAGGGTGGGAGGAAGCGTCCACCTGCCCTGGAAAGGCATCATTCTCTCACTTTCCATTTTGAGATCCAGACCGTATAACAAGTGCCATCTTTGCCGTATGTACTAAAACATCTCGGCAGACTTGGCTCCCGACATTCAGCCATAAGATTGTCAATTTCAGGTTCATTTGGGGATTTTCAGGTAGGGAGGGGCCTCAGAGATGTAGTTTATCACCATCTTTTCACAAACTTAGAAGGGGAAGCAGAATCCCAGGGAGAGGTAGTGATCGTCTCAGATTCCTGGACTGGAAGTGGTAGCATCAGCCTTGAACCAATATTCAACTCACAAGGAACGCAGTTTCCCAGAAATGCTTAAGGCTCGAGAGAGAAAGGATTTAAGAGACAGATCTTTCTTTGTTGTGTAATTTCTGTTTCAGAGATGTCAGGAGGTTTCTCTAATGGCTTGATAAGCAATTTTAAAATGAGAGGTATAATAAGTACTTACTGCTATTGTCATTATGCCATTGTTATTATGGTAATGTAATCAGTAAAATATATCTGCCTCTTAAGGTCTAGAGTAATTGAAATCATACCATATTGATGCAATTAAAAGAATTAGTGAAACTATTAGGTGATTTATGTTTTATATCAAAAATTTCTCAAAATAGTAGGAAGAAAAAATTAGCTTTCACACAGTGATTTACTTTATCTAGACTAATACTCCACCTACTGGAAAAACACTGAATATTATTTAAAGCATAAGATGTTTAAAAAGAAACCAAGCAAACGGATTTTCTATCAATAAGTTCGTATAATTTTTGTAAATGTCAACGGACAGGAGGAGAAATTCTCATTTCACAGCTGATATAGCATTTCTTTAATAGCATTGATTTCAAAGATATTTATAGCACAATGGCTCAAGCACTATATAATTATTTCAGAGAATCTGGTCAGAAAACATGTAGCACTTTTAGTTTTGTGACTTTGACTTGCAAATGAAAATTCAGAAGATGATTGTAAATCATTAAAAACAATATCTGAACTAGTCTTCTAGTAAATTTGAAATTTACTAGAAATTTCAAATTTCTTTGAGATGTAGTGTGAGAATAGTTCATGGTTTTATACACTTTCATATTTAGAATCACTTTAGTAACAATCAACTTTAACCGTTACACATAGTGAGTACTTTAGATAATAATTTACATAAAATAATCATGAATTAATTTTATATGGCATTTTTTCCCTGAAGAGCTCGAGGAAAAACACATTTTGATAACTTAGAACATGACTTTCTAGGAGGAAGAAAAACAAACAAATGCGTGGAAAAGGGAGGAAGAAAACAATAAAATTAGGAAGAGTCGCTTTTGAAAATAGATATTAACAAATATGATGCTGCTTAAATTGTATAATGTTATGGTTAAGTTTTTTTTTTTTTTTTTTTTGAGATGGAGTCTTGCTCTGTTGCCCAGGCTGAAGTGCAGTGGCACGATCTTGACTCACTGCAACTTCCGCCTCCTGGGTTCAAGCGATTCTCCTGCCTCAGCCTCCTGAGTAGCTGGGACTACAGGTGCCCGCCACCAAGCCTGGCTAATTTTTTGTATTTTTAGTTGAGACGGGGTTTCACCGTGTTAGCCAGGATGGTCTCGATCTCCTGACCTCGTGATTTGCCCACCTCGGCCTCCCAAAGTGCTGGGATTATAGGTATGAGCCAACGTGCATGGCCTAAGTTTTTAATTAAATAAATGAAAGGAATAAAGAACTTTGAGAATTATTATGAGAAACGATGGAGATATGACAAATATGATTGAGGCTTTTCTTATTTTCGTCTTTATTCCCTTCTGTAATCTTGAATTGTTGAGCACGTTTTCGGGGTTTGATTTGTTTAAATTTGGTTCCTGGTGAATTCCTGGCTGAGTTGTGTGGGGGCGCTTTAATAAGGCCTTCAGTAAAATGAAACTACGACCAGGATAACTGTATTAGCCTGGTGCGGTAAGAGCCGTTGATGTCACATCGTCTGCTTGCCACGGATGGGACTGGTCAGTTTTGAAGTGGGTGGCTACTCTGACTGTTAAATTCTCAAAGCAGGGCCTTTGCTGTAACTGGTACAGAAACAAGGACTTTATTTGAAGATGATCCCCTCACAGAAATGTAGTTCACCCTTAAACAACATGGGCTTGAACTGCACTGCTTACAAGTGGATTTTTTTTTCAACCAAATGCGGATCAAAAATACAGTATTCTTGGGATGCAGGACCTGCGTATATGCAAAGTCGGCCCTTGCTAGATGCAGGTTCCTCAGAGCTGACCACAAGATTTGAGTATGCATGAGGTTTGATGTACTTGGGGGTCCTGAAACCGATACCCCGAGGATATTGTGGGATGACTATATATGATTAGTCAAATCTTGAGAAGCCAGTAGGTTGTCATGTCAGCTGGGGATGTCTGCTGTGTGTGCCCCTGAAGTTACACCTGCCCAGTAGTACACTCATCCCATGGGCCACCCAGAGCACAGATGAATGACTGTCACAGGGTAACTTGGCTGCTGGGGGTGGTGCAGACCCCCTGTGGGAAGAGAGAGGCCTCGGCGTAAGACTCAAATCATCTTGCTGACACCTCCTAACATTATGCAAGGGCTTCCATGTGGTTTTGTGGTCCAGCCACCTTGAGCACTGGGACTGGAGTCCAGCTGATGACGTGCAGATGTTCCCAGCTGGGCTCAAGGCGCTTTAGATTCTTGTTTGGAAAACATGACATGAAACAATGAAGGAATAATATTCTAAGACAATCTACTAAAATTAAATGTAAAATGTTACCCCTAATTCTAAAATATGTAATATGGAGAATAAGTGTCATCATGGTACAGTAGATTGGCAGAGTGGAGGCGTTTTGAAGGAGGAATAATAAACCAAATTTCTCTAAGGGTGTTGAGGTCACTAGCCTCATTGATCTTTAGGATGTGTTTTGGAAAAAAAATGGTAGACGACACCAGCCATGCTGGTCCTTAGGATGTGTTTTGGAAAAGAATGGTAGAAGACAATAGAAGGTAAATGGAAGATACGTTGTGAAGGGCTTTGAATGCTAGGATGCAAAGTTTGGATTGATCTATACAAAACTGGGGTTACAGTTTTTCATCTATCAATCAATATCTATCTATCTATCTATCATCTGTCTATCTATCTATCTATCTATCTATCTATCTATCTATCTATGTATCTATCTATCTCTGTTATTCTGGCATAGGATCACCCCCAAATTCTCATTGTTGTTGTTATTTGTAACCACAACTCCTTTAAAGGGGGTCAAATCCAAGTTTTTGCATCTGTTGAGCACCTGACTACTCTGGGCCAGCAAGCTTGGACCCTGTTTTGGGAAGAGTCAGCTTGTTATTGTATATAATAGTGGGGGAGACCTGGAGATGAGTGAGGAAGCAGGTGGGGAGCCAGGGAGCATGAATCAGGAGAAATCAAAATCCTGGCACTGCCTGGGGTGAAAGCAGAAAGACTGGCACTGCCTGGCGTGAAGGGCTATGAGAAGCCTCTATAGAAGGATGGGTAAAGGAACTATTGAGGGCATGAATATCTACTCTATGACTTGCAGTGATTTGTTAATGTGCTGTGTACCCCTCTCCCCGACCCTGAAATAGTCAATAGAGGCTACTGCTCAGTGAATGCTTTGGGCGGTTGTGTGTTTGTGAACCAAAGGAAGTGCTGAGCTTCATTCTGGGTGGATATTCTCTGGATCAGAGAGATCACCCACAGAAGAAAGCACCTGGAAGCAGAAAGAACCCTTGGAAATCCCAGGGAGGACTTCAGATTTCCATCAGAGAGGAAAGGTTGGTGAAAATTGTGGCTCAAGGTGACCTGATCAAGACCCTAAGGGGCTGACGAATTAGTTCATGTGTAGCTACGTTGGGACTCAAGCACATGTCGGTGTGTCTGGAGAGACCCCAGGATCTCTCTCCTTGAGAAACTGATATTCTTCTTGAGAGAAAGAATGTATTAAGGGATGAAAAGATCTGGATGAAGAAACAGTTCAAAGACATTGGGCAAGAGTAGGGTGATTCTGGGCCTAAATGTAGGAAGAAACTGACATTCAATTCCCAAATTGGAAGTCTGCTCAACCACAGGGCCTGCTAACCTAATCAGGACTATGAGGCATGTATAGGAGAATGTGTATTGAAGACAGAGAGAACATGAAAATGGCCTGGAGGAGAACTTTGCTTGGTTATCTGAACCCAAGAGGTAAAGAAGATGGATTCTGACTGTGCCCTACAGGCTCCTGTGTTGGTGGCTGTGGTACGTATATGGAACTGGGGCTACAGCATGGCTGGGAACTTCTGCAGAATGAGGCAAGGCTGCACACTCCTCCAAGCAATGTAGCATAATCATACCCTTGGCATTTAGGAAGAACATGTGACTGGATCATCCAATAGGATCACCAATGCCTGAGGCTGCTGCTTAGAATTGAAAATGTCCAGGAATAGGGAACCTGCTGGAGCCACCATTTGTGTACTTTGGGCCAAGAGAAAGCTAGCTAGAAGAGCAGTGATGAGAACTGAGGAGAGAAGGGCATTCATGTAAGGAGGAGGGTTTTTATGTTTTCCTTCTCCCTTCTTTTCATCAAACATGCAATTAGAGTTGGGAGCATTGAGCCCAAACCCCAGATAAGGCAGAGGGACTGGAGATTGAGTTCACCTTTGTGGCCAATGATTCAATCAACCAAGCCTGTGTAATGAAACCTCTAAAAAAAACTTTGGACACCGAAGCTCAGTAAATGTCCCTGGTTTGTAATACTCTGGGCATTGTCACACACTGATGTGCAGGGAGGGTAGTGTGTCCTTAGGACAAAGAAGCTTTGCATTTGGGACAAATCTTGCCACCTGCATCTCTCCCTTTGGCCGGTCTGGATTGTATCCTTTATAGTAAAACTTGATCATAAGTATAGTGCTTTCCCGAGTTCTGCAAATCATTCTAGCAAATTATTGACCTGAGGGAGTAGTGGGAACCTCTGAATTTGTAGCCAGCTGCTTGTAAATGAGGGTCACCTGGAGACCCCTGGGCTTGCAGCTGGGGTTTGACGTGAGACCAGTCTTGTGGAGGACTGTGCCCTTGGAGCTGTAAAGTTTGGCCTAACTCCAAGTAGTTGGTTCTAGAAGTCTTTGCAGAGAGTGAGGTAATAATAGAACAAGGGTTAAAAAATAAATATGGGCTGAGCATGGTGGTGCACACCTGTCATCTCAGCACTTTGGGAGGCTGAGGCAGGAGGATTGCTTGAGCCTAGGAGTTCAAGATTGCAGTGAGCTGTGATTGTGTGACTGCACTCCAGTCTGCATGACAGAGTGAGACTCCGACTCTAAACAGAGCAGAAAAAACAAAGCAAAACAAAAATATGAATAGATTTGAACCTGTGGCTATAATAAGTAAAATGAGGCCGGGTACGGTGGTTCACTCCTGTAATCCCAGCACTTTGGGAAGAAGCAGGATAGAGGTGAGGACAGGACAGACCCCGATCTCTCGTGCCTCCCCCTGTGTTTTCCTGCAGTGTTCTGCTAGCTGAACCCAACCATAATCTGGTGGCCAGGGAGCTGAAGATGTCAATCTGCAGGGGCAGAGAAAAGAGGATGATGGAGCAGTGTTGCTGCAGAATGCCTGGCACTGGCTGGGTGGGAAGAAAGGGGCCTCCGAGTGCATCGTGTGGGAAGGAATCTGTAGTCACATCACAGGTCCGTTTATTCATTCAAGAAACGTTTGTCAAGTGCCCATAAGGTGCCTTGAACTGACTGTTCTAGGTACTTAGGATACATCAGTGAACAAAAAGCCCCAAATCCTAACCCTCATATCGCTTCCTTCCTAGTATAGAGAGACACAGAGAAAAAGTAAATGATGTAATATGGTAGGAGGGGATAAATTCGAAGTCTTTTCCCTCAAATTAGAGCCCAATAAGAGGCCTGGTGTAAAAGTCAGACTGCAACCCTAAATAAGGCGGTCAGGGTAGCCTCACTGAGAAAAGGAGATTCAATGAAGACTTGAGGGATTCGAGGGGTTAGCCCTGCAGAAACCCAGGGAAAGAACACTCAGGCAGAGAGAGCAGCCAAGGCGGGAGAATTCCCGGCATGAAGCCAGTGAGGCTCAAGTAGCATGAAAAGGGGAGGGTCACGGGGCTAGTTCCTGTGGAGTCCTGCAGGTCACTGGAAAGACTTTGGCTTGTCCTCAGAGAAACGAGGACTGTCAGTGGGTGTTGAGCAGAGAACTCGTACTTTAAACAGATGGGGTAGTGATGTCAGAGACGCTCCTGCAAGGGCAAGGGAGGAAGCTTGGAGACCCGTCAGGAGGCCTCTGCAGAACAGGATGGAGTCTGGAGCCCGAGCAGCAGATGTGCAAGGTGGGAGGCTGGTCAGAATTTGGATGTTTTCAGGGTAGAACCAGCATGAGGTTCTGAAAAACCGGATGTGAGCTGTGAGAACCAGTGAGTGATGTTCTAGTGATATTCCAAGGTTTTAATCCTGACCAGCTGGAAGGATGGAGTTGCCATCAGCTGAAATTGGAAAGGCTATAAGCAGGGCAGGTTGTGGGAAGGGGCAGATCAGGAGGTCAGATTTGGAGATATTGTGTTCGGAGTGTTTATCAGACATCAAGAATCAGTTAGATATCTGGGAGTCAGTTTGGTGTGTGAGTCGGCAGTTCATGGCGAGGTTTGGGTTGAGATAATAATTTGGAGTTTGAGGCACAGAGATAAAATTTAAGAGCACGACATTGGATGAGATCATCACAGGAGTGAATACAAATGGTAAAGCACTGGAAGCACGCCCACTGAAGGAGGTCAGGAAGGAGAGAAACAGTGAAGGAGACAGAGCAAAAGGGGCCCATGAGGGAGAAGGAGGACAGGAGCAGTGTTCCCTAAAAGCCAAGGGCTCCCTGGTTTCAGATGCTGCCTTTAAGTGGAGCAGCAGGAGAACTGTGAAGTAGCCAGTGGGTTTGGTGGTGAGAAGGTCATTGATAGTATCCATAAGAGTAGCTTTAAGCAGTGGTGGACAGCAGCCCAGCTGGGATTGGGAATAAGAAAAAATGAGGATAAAATATTCACAGTACATGCATCTGGCAAAGGAGTTGTATCCAGAATACGTAAAGAATCCTTATAACATAATAATAAGGCAAACAATCCAATTTTAAAAAGGGGCCAAAGGCTTGAACAGACACTTCACGAAAGAAGATTTACCAGTGGTCAATAAGCACTTGAAAAGTCGCTAAACATCATCAGTCATCAGGGAAATGAAAATTAAACCCAAAATGAGATACTACCACACACCAGTTGAATGGCTATAATTAAAAAGACTGACAATATCAAGTGCTAGTGACTACGTGGAGTCACTGGAATTCTGCTGTCTTCCTAGAGGGAATATTACATCAAAAAACAGTTAAAGATACACTTACCATAAACTCATTGATTTCATTCCTAGATATTTACTTGAAAGAAATAAAAAAAAGTCTGCTCTATACATGTGTATGCAAATGTTCCTAACAGGTGTAGTCATAATATCCCCAAAATGATCCACATATCCATCAAGAGGTGAATGAATAAATGCATGGGGGTATATTCATAAGTGTATTACCACCCAGCAATTAAAAAAACAACCACAGATACACACGACAAGAAGAAGGAACCTCAGAATCATTATGCAGAATGAAAGGAGCTGGACATTTGTTTAAAATTATAGAACAAGTAGGCCGGGCGTGGTAGCTCACGCCTGTAATCCCAGCACTTTGGAAGGCCGAGGCAGGCAGATCATGAGGTCAGGAGTTCAAGACCAGCCTGGTCAACATAGTGAAACCTCATCTCTACTAAAAATACAAAAATTAGCCGGGTGTAGTGCCATGTGCCTGTAGTCCCAGCTACTTGGGAGGCTGAGGCAGGAGAATCATTTGAATCTGGGAGGTGGAGGTTGCAGTGAACTGAGACTGTGCCATTGCACTCCAGCCTAGATGACAGGGCGGGACTCTGTCTCAAAAAAAAAAAAATTATAGAACAGGTAAAACTAATCTGTGACTTTATAGAAATAGAAATTTGATCAGTAAATGCTTGGGGGCAATGGTGGGTGGGAAAGGGGCCCAGGGGAACCTTCTGGGATATTAGAAATATTCCAAATTTTGAGTGTGGTGGTGGCTACATGGGTGTGCACGTCTGTCAAAACTCATCAGTCTGTACATTTAAAGTGTGTAAATTTCATTGCATGCAATTTACATTTCAGTAAAGTTGACTGAAGAAAGAGGCTGAGCATGGTGGTTCACACCTGTAATCCCAGCACTTTGGGAGGCTGAGGTGGGCAGATTGCTTGAGGTCAGGGGTCCGAGACCAGCCTGGCCAGCATGATGAAACTTCATCTCTACTAAAAATACAAAAATTAGCCAGGCGTGGTGGCACACACCTGTAATTCCAGCTACTGGGGAGGCTGAGGCAGGAGAATCGCTTGAACCTGGGAGGTGGAGGTAGCAGTGAGCTGAGATTGCACAACTACACTCCAGCCTGGGCGACAGAGTGGGACTCTATCTCCAAAAAAATAAATAAATAAATAAATAAATAAATAAATAAATAAATAGAGAGAGAGAGAGAGAGAGAGAGAGAGAGAATGGGAGAAGCTGACCCGAAACAGCAAGCATAGATAACTATTGCCGGGCGTTTTATTGCAAAGAAAAACAAAGATGTGGGGAAAGTGGTCTCAGGAGAAATTTTTGTTTTAAAGTAAGAGAAATATCTGCATGCTTATTTGCTGATGGGAATGAGTCAGTAGAGAACGAAGACAGAGAACTGCTCAGCAATGCCCTGGAGTAAGCAAGACGGGTTTGGTGGAGAAGGGTCGAGGGCTGATTTTAAATGGGACTCACAAGCAAACCTGATTTTCCTCTGTGTTCTCTTCTGTACTTTCTATAATAAATATATTTAAATGTATAATTAGAAAAACACAATAAATGGTATTTTAAGAAGAAAAATAGCATGTTTTCCATAACTAGTAATATAAGCAGAGACTGGTCAAGGGTTGGACTCATGGCCAATAAGGACCAATCTGATTCTAAAATTATTCTAAGTACATATTACCACTAAGGTTTATAGTTTGTATTATAGTTTTTAAGGAAGAACTTGAAGAGGTTTGTGTCAATCATTTTTGTTTTCTTATCCAGAGAAAGAGGGAGAAAAGGATATTAATGCGTTCTACCTCTGGGGAAACTGAGGCACACACAAAGAGGTTTGTGTCTAATCCATGGCCACAGAATTGGTAGTAAACATTCAATTGAATACAAATAACTATGTTCAAGATACCACGCTCAGCAAGGATAGAAAGAAAATTTCCTGACTCCCTGTGAGTCTAGAACTTCCCTTCACTGTAGCCTAATCTTGTGTTTATTTTTAAATAAATGAAACTGCACTTTCTACCACTGAGTCATTCCCCTAACTCAGGGAGCTAATGGCTTTCCTAAGTAAATGACATTCATTGATCAATAAGTCTTTGCTGGATGATGTTTTAAAATACTGAGAGAAAATTTAAATGCAGTATGTCTAATCAGACTAAAGTTAAGGGCTTTATGGGTCTAAACCTAGTAATGAAACAGCGTTTTCTTCTTTATTGGCTGGTCTCCTAGTTTTATAGGTTTGCTCAAATTGTGATTGTGGAATGATTCTCGTATGTGGGGTGTTTAAGTAAAGCAACCCCAGTTGCTTTTACTTTATTGATCTTTTTAATGCACCAGCTTCAGTATTTAAATGAGTTTGAGTTTGTTTCTTTAATGGTCTTTCAATAAAGCTTAAGTTGACCCGGTTGCTTTTGCAATCACAGCACTGTAACAGCAGAAAAAGAATAATAATAAAAATGAACTCATTTTATGTGGTTGAAAAGGTTACATTTCTATTGATTTTAACTGTAATATAGTTAAAGTCCTTGATATTAAAGAAAACAACGTAGCAGACACA